>NW_021160015.1:0-97763 GCF_000001405.40 Homo sapiens | reverse complement strand
CAGAGGGCTAGGATTGCTTGGCAGGAGAGGGTGGAGTTGGAAGCCTGGGCGAGAAGAAAGCTCAAGGTACAGGTGGGCAGCAGGGCAGAGACTGGGCAGCCTCAGAGGCACGGGGAAATGGAGGGACTGCCCAGTAGCCTCAGGACACAGGGGTATGGGGACTACCTTGATGGCCTTCTTGCTGCCCTTGATCTTCTCAATCTTGGCCTGGGCCAAGGAGACCTTCTCTCCAATGGCCTGCACCTGGCTCCGGCTCTGCTCTACCTGCTGGGAGATCCTGCCATGGAGAAGATCACAGAGGCTGGGCTGCTCCCCACCCCCTGCACACCTCCTGCTTCTAACAGCAGAGCTGCCAGGCCAGGCCCTCAGGCAAGGGCTCTGAAGTCAGGGTCACCTACTTGCCAGGGCCGATCTTGGTGCCATCCAGGGGGCCTCTACAAGGATAATCTGACCTGCAGGGTCGAGGAGTTGACGGTGCTGAGTTCCCTGCACTCTCAGTAGGGACAGGCCCTATGCTGCCACCTGTACATGCTATCTGAAGGACAGCCTCCAGGGCACACAGAGGATGGTATTTACACATGCACACATGGCTACTGATGGGGCAAGCACTTCACAACCCCTCATGATCACGTGCAGCAGACAATGTGGCCTCTGCAGAGGGGGAACGGAGACCGGAGGCTGAGACTGGCAAGGCTGGACCTGAGTGTCGTCACCTAAATTCAGACGGGGAACTGCCCCTGCACATAGTGAACGGCTCACTGAGCAAACCCCGAGTCCCGACCACCGCCTCAGTGTGGTCTAGCTCCTCACCTGCTTCCATCCTCCCTGGTGCGGGGTGGGCCCAGTGATATCAGCTGCCTGCTGTTCCCCAGATGTGCCAAGTGCATTCTTGTGTGCTTGCATCTCATGGAACGCCATTTCCCCAGACATCCCTGTGGCTGGCTCCTGATGCCCGAGGCCCAAGTGTCTGATGCTTTAAGGCACATCACCCCACTCATGCTTTTCCATGTTCTTTGGCCGCAGCAAGGCCGCTCTCACTGCAAAGTTAACTCTGATGCGTGTGTAACACAACATCCTCCTCCCAGTCGCCCCTGTAGCTCCCCTACCTCCAAGAGCCCAGCCCTTGCCCACAGGGCCAACACTCCACGTGCAGAGCAGCCTCAGCACTCACTGGGCACGAGTGAGCCTGTGTGGTGCGCAAGGGATGAGAAGGCAGAGGCGCGACTGGGGGTTCATGAGGAAGGGCAGGGAGGAGGAGGGTGACGCCTTGCACGCGCAGAAACTCACGTCACGTGGCGCGACGCAGAAACGGGTAGAACTCAGTAATCAGAAAAGCCGGGATCGACCGCCCCTTGCTTGCAGCCGGGCATTACAGGACCCGCTTGCTCACGGTGCTGTGCCAGGGCGCCCCCTGCTGGCAACTAGGGCAACTGCAGGGCTCTCTTGCTTAGAAGTGGTGGCCAGCGCCCCCTGCTGGCGCCGGGGCACTGCAGGGCCCTCTTGCTTACTGTATAGTGGTGGCACGCCGCCTGCTGGCAGCTAGGGACATTG
This sequence comes from Homo sapiens, assembly GCF_000001405.40. Lineage (NCBI taxonomy): Eukaryota > Metazoa > Chordata > Mammalia > Primates > Hominidae > Homo > Homo sapiens. Next base: position 96,212 of record NW_021160015.1, on the reverse strand, counting down.
CAGGGTCCTCTTGCTCAAGGTGTAGTGGCAGCACGCCCACCTGCTGGCAGCTGGGGACACTGCCGGGCCCTCTTGCTCCAACAGTACTGGCGGATTATAGGGAAACACCCGGAGCATATGCTGTTTGGTCTCAGTAGACTCCTAAATATGGGATTCCTGGGTTTAAAAGTAAAAAATAAATATGTTTAATTTGTGAACTGATTACCATCAGAATTGTACTGTTCTGTATCCCACCAGCAATGTCTAGGAATGCCTGTTTCTCCACAAAGTGTTTACTTTTGGATTTTTGCCAGTCTAACAGGTGAAGCCCTGGAGATTCTTATTAGTGATTTGGGCTGGGGCCTGGCCATGTGTATTTTTTTAAATTTCCACTGATGATTTTGCTGCATGGCCGGTGTTGAGAATGACTGCGCAAATTTGCCGGATTTCCTTTGCTGTTCCTGCATGTAGTTTAAACGAGATTGCCAGCACCGGGTATCATTCACCATTTTTCTTTTCGTTAACTTGCCGTCAGCCTTTTCTTTGACCTCTTCTTTCTGTTCATGTGTATTTGCTGTCTCTTAGCCCAGACTTCCCGTGTCCTTTCCACCGGGCCTTTGAGAGGTCACAGGGTCTTGATGCTGTGGTCTTCATCTGCAGGTGTCTGACTTCCAGCAACTGCTGGCCTGTGCCAGGGTGCAAGCTGAGCACTGGAGTGGAGTTTTCCTGTGGAGAGGAGCCATGCCTAGAGTGGGATGGGCCATTGTTCATCTTCTGGCCCCTGTTGTCTGCATGTAACTTAATACCACAACCAGGCATAGGGGAAAGATTGGAGGAAAGATGAGTGAGAGCATCAACTTCTCTCACAACCTAGGCCAGTAAGTAGTGCTTGTGCTCATCTCCTTGGCTGTGATACGTGGCCGGCCCTCGCTCCAGCAGCTGGACCCCTACCTGCCGTCTGCTGCCATCGGAGCCCAAAGCCGGGCTGTGACTGCTCAGACCAGCCGGCTGGAGGGAGGGGCTCAGCAGGTCTGGCTTTGGCCCTGGGAGAGCAGGTGGAAGATCAGGCAGGCCATCGCTGCCACAGAACCCAGTGGATTGGCCTAGGTGGGATCTCTGAGCTCAACAAGCCCTCTCTGGGTGGTAGGTGCAGAGACGGGAGGGGCAGAGCCGCAGGCACAGCCAAGAGGGCTGAAGAAATGGTAGAACGGAGCAGCTGGTGATGTGTGGGCCCACCGGCCCCAGGCTCCTGTCTCCCCCCAGGTGTGTGGTGATGCCAGGCATGCCCTTCCCCAGCATCAGGTCTCCAGAGCTGCAGAAGACGACGGCCGACTTGGATCACACTCTTGTGAGTGTCCCCAGTGTTGCAGATGTGAGAGGAGAGTAGACAGTGAGTGGGAGTGGCGTCGCCCCTAGGGCTCTACTGGTCGGCGTCTCTTGTCTTCTGGAAAAGGCTCGATGCCCCTCCACACCCTCTTGATCTTCCCTGTGATGTCATCTGGAGCCCTGCTGCTTGCGGTGGCCTATAAAGCCTCCTAGTCTGGCTCCAAGGCCTGGCAGAGTCTTTCCCAGGGAAAGCTACAAGCAGCAAACAGTCTGCATGGGTCATCCCCTTCACTCCCAGCTCAGAGCCCAGGCCAGGGGCCCCCAAGAAAGGCTCTGGTGGAGAACCTGTGCATGAAGGCTGTCAACCAGTCCATAGGCAAGCCTGGCTGCCTCCAACTGGGTCGACAGACAGGGGCTGGAGAAGGGGAGAAGAGGAAAGTGAGGTTGCCTGCCCTGTCTCCTACCTGAGGCTGAGGAAGGAGAAGGGGATGCACTGTTGGGGAGGCAGCTGTAACTCAAAGCCTTAGCCTCTGTTCCCACGAAGGCAGGGCCATCAGGCACCAAAGGGATTCTGCCAGCATAGTGCTCCTGGACCAGTGATACACCCGGCACCCTGTCCTGGACACGCTGTTGGCCTGGATCTGAGCCCTCGTGGAGGTCAAAAGCCACCTTTGGTTCTGCCATTGCTGCTGTGTGGAAGTTCACTCCTGCCTTTTCCTTTCCCTAGAGCCTCCACCACCCCGAGATCACATTTCTCACCTGCCTTTTGTCTGCCCAGTTTCACCAGAAGTAGGCCTCTTCCTGACAGGCAGCTGCAGCACTGCCTGGCGCTGTGCCCTTCCTTTGCTCTGCCCGCTGGAGACGGTGTTTGTCATGGGCCTGGTCTGCAGGGATCCTGCTACAAAGGTGAAACCCAGGAGAGTGTGGAGTCCAGAGTGTTGCCAGGACCCAGGCACAGGCATTAGTGCCCGTTGGAGAAAACAGGGGAATCCCGAAGAAATGGTGGGTCCTGGCCATCCGTGAGATCTTCCCAGGGCAGCTCCCCTCTGTGGAATCCAATCTGTCTTCCATCCTGCGTGGCCGAGGGCCAGGCTTCTCACTGGGCCTCTGCAGGAGGCTGCCATTTGTCCTGCCCACCTTCTTAGAAGCGAGACAGAGCAGACCCATCTGCTACTGCCCTTTCTATAATAACTAAAGTTAGCTGCCCTGGACTATTCACCCCCTAGTCTCAATTTAAGAAGATCCCCATGGCCACAGGGCCCCTGCCTGGGGGCTTGTCACCTCCCCCACCTTCTTCCTGAGTCACTCCTGCAGCCTTGCTCCCTAACCTGCCCCACAGCCTTGCCTGGATTTCTATCTCCCTGGCTTGGTGCCAGTTCCTCCAAGTCGATGGCACCTCCCTCCCTCTCAACCACTTGAGCAAACTCCAAGACATCTTCTACCCCAACACCAGCAATTGTGCCAAGGGCCATTAGGCTCTCAGCATGACTATTTTTAGAGACCCCGTGTCTGTCACTGAAACCTTTTTTGTGGGAGACTATTCCTCCCATCTGCAACAGCTGCCCCTGCTGACTGCCCTTCTCTCCTCCCTCTCATCCCAGAGAAACAGGTCAGCTGGGAGCTTCTGCCCCCACTGCCTAGGGACCAACAGGGGCAGGAGGCAGTCACTGACCCCGAGACGTTTGCATCCTGCACAGCTAGAGATCCTTTATTAAAAGCACACTGTTGGTTTCTGCTCAGTTCTTTATTGATTGGTGTGCCGTTTTCTCTGGAAGCCTCTTAAGAGAAGAACACAGTGGCGCAGGCTGGGTGGAGCCGTCCCCCCATGGAGCACAGGCAGACAGAAGTCCCCGCCCCAGCTGTGTGGCCTCAAGCCAGCCTTCCGCTCCTTGAAGCTGGTCTCCACACAGTGCTGGTTCCGTCACCCCCTCCCAAGGAAGTAGGTCTGAGCAGCTTGTCCTGGCTGTGTCCATGTCAGAGCAACGGCCCAAGTCTGGGTCTGGGGGGGAAGGTGTCATGGAGCCCCCTAGGATTCCCAGTCGTCCTCGTCCTCCTCTGCCCTGTGGCTGCTGCGGTGGCGGCAGAGGAGGGATGGAGTCTGACACGCGGGCAAAGGCTCCTCCGGGCCCCTCACCAGCCCCAGGTCCTTTCCCAGAGATGCCTGGAGGGAAAAGGCTGAGTGAGGGTGATTGGTGGGAAACCCTGGTTCCCCCAGCCCCCGGAGACTTAAATACAGGAAGAAAAAGGCAGGACAGAATTACAAGGTGCCGGCCCAGGGCGGGCAGCGGCCCTGCCTCCTACCCTTGCGCCTCATGACCAGCTTGTTGAAGAGATCCGACATCAAGTGCCCACCTTGGCTCGTGGCTCTCACTGCAACGGGAAAGCCACAGACTGGGGTGAAGAGTTCAGTCACATGCGACCGGTGACTCCCTGTCCCCACCCCCATGACACTCCCCAGCCCTCCAAGGCCACTGTGTTTCCCAGTTAGCTCAGAGCCTCAGTCGATCCCTGACCCAGCACCGGGCACTGATGAGACAGCGGCTGTTTGAGGAGCCACCTCCCAGCCACCTCGGGGACAGGGCCAGGGTGTGCAGCACCACTGTACGATGGGGAAACTGGCCCAGAGAGGTGAGGCAGCTTGCCTGGGGTCACAGAGCAAGGCAAAAGCAGCGCTGGGTACAAGCTCAAAACCATAGTGCCCAGGGCACTGCCGCTGCAGGCGCAGGCATCACATCACACCAGTGTCTGCGTTCACAGCAGGCATCATCAGTAGCCTCCAGAGGCCTCAGGTCCAGTCTCTAAAAATATCTCAGGAGGCTGCAGTGGCTGACCATTGCCTTGGACCGCTCTTGGCAGTCGAAGAAGATTCTCCTGTCAGTTTGAGCTGGGTGAGCTTAGAGAGGAAAGCTCCACTATGGCTCCCAAACCAGGAAGGAGCCATAGCCCAGGCAGGAGGGCTGAGGACCCTCTGGTGGCGGCCCAGGGCTTCCAGCATGTGCCCTAGGGGAAGCAGGGGCCAGCTGGCAAGAGCAGGGGGTGGGCAGAAAGCACCCGGTGGACTCAGGGCTGGAGGGGAGGAGGCGATCTTGCCCAAGGCCCTCCGACTGCAAGCTCCAGGGCCCGCTCACCTTGCTCCTGCTCCTTCTGCTGCTTCTTCTCCAGCTTTCGCTCCTTCATGCTGCGCAGCTTGGCCTTGCCGATGCCCCCAGCTTGGCGGATGGACTCTAGCAGAGTGGCCCGGCCACCGGAGGGGTCAACCACTTCCCTGGGAGCTCCCTGGACTGGAGCCAGGAGGTGGGGAACAGGGCAAGGAGGAAAGGCTGCTCAGGCAGGGCTGGGGAAGCTTACTGTGTCCAAGAGCCTGCTGGGAGGGAAGTCACCTCCCCTCAAACGAGGAGCCCTGCGCTGGGGAGGCCGGACCTTTGGAGACGGTGTGTGGGGGGCCTGGGCACTGACTTCTGCAACCACCTGAGCGCGGGCATCCTGTGTGCAGATACTCCCTGCTTCCTCTCTAGCCCCCACCCTGCAGAGCTGGACCCCTGAGCTAGCCATGCTCTGACAGTCTCAGTTGCACACATGAGCCAGCAGAGGGGTTTTGTGCCACTTCTGGATGCTAGGGTTACACTGGGAGATACAGCAGTGAAGCTGAAATGAAAAATGTGTTGCTGTAGTTTGTTATTAGACCCCTTCTTTCCATTGGTTTAATTAGGAATGGGGAACCCAGAGCCTCACTTGTTCAGGCTCCCTCTGCCCTAGAAGTGAGAAGTCCAGAGCTCTACAGTTTGAAAGCCACTATTTTATGAACCAAGTAGAACAAGATATTTGAAATGGAAAAATATTCAAAAAATTGAGAATTTCTGACCACTTAACAAACCCACAGAAAATCCACCCGAGTGCGATGAGCACGCCAGAAATCAGGTGGCCTCAAAGAGCTGCTCCCACCTGAAGGAGACTCGCTGCTGCTGCTGTCGTCCTGCCTGGCGCCTTGGCCTACAGGGTCCGCGGTTGAGGGTGGGAGTGGGGGTGCACTGGCCTGCACCTCAGGAGCTGGGGGTGGTGGTGGGGGCGGTGGGGGTGGTGTTAGTACCCCATCTTGTAGGTCTGAAACACAAAGTGTGGGGTGTCTAGGAAAGAAGGTGTGTGACCAGGGAGGTCCCCGGCCCAGCTCCCATCCCAGAACCCAGCTCACCTACCTTGAGAGGCTCGGCTACCTCAGTGTGGAAGGTGGGCAGTTCTGGAATGGTGCCAGGGGCAGAGGGGGCAATGCCGGGGCCCAGGTCAGCAATGTACATGAGGTCGTTGGTAATGCCGGGCAGGTCAGGCAGGTAGGATGGAACATCAATCTCAGGCACCTGGCCCAGGTCTGGCACATAGAAGTAGTTCTCTGGGACCTGCAAGATTAGGCAGGGACATGTGAGAGGTGACAGGGACCTGCAGGGGCAGCCAACAAGACCTTGTGTGCACCTCCCATGGGTGGAATAAGGGGCCCAACAGCCTTGACTGGAGAGGAGCTCTGGCAAGGCCCTGGGTCACTGCACCTGTCTCCACCTCTGTCCCACCCCTCCCACCTGCTGTTCCAGCTGCTCTCTCTTGCTGATGGACAAGGGGGCATCAAACAGCTTCTCCTCTGTCTCTGCCCCCAGCATCACATGGGTCTTTGTTACAGCACCAGCCAGGGGGTCCAGGAAGACATACTTCTTCTACCTACAGAGGCAACATGGGGGTCAGGCAAGCTGACACCCGCTGTCCTGAGCCCATGTTCCTCTCCCACATCATCAGGGGCACAGCGTGCACTGTGGGGTCCCAGGCCTCCCGAGCCGAGCCACCCCAGTCACCCCCTGGCTCCTGGCCTATGTGCTGTACCTGTGTCTGATGCCCTGGGTCCCCACTAAGCCAGGCCGGGCCTCCCGCCCACACCCCTCGGCCCTGCCCTCTGGCCATACAGGTTCTCGGTGGTGTTGAAGAGCAGCAAGGAGCTGACAGAGCTGATGTTGCTGGGAAGACCCCCAAGTCCCTCTTCTGCATCGTCCTCGGGCTCCGGCTTGGTGCTCACGCACACAGGAAAGTCAGCTTCTCCTGGGAGGGCCAGGATGGCCAACGGATGGTGAATATTTGGTGCTGGGCCTAATCAGCTGCCATCCCATCCCAGTCAGCCTCCTCTGGGGGACAGAACCCTATGGTGGCCCCGGCTCCTCCCCAGTATCCAGTCCTCCTGGTGTGTGACAGGCTATATGCGCGGCCAGCAGACCTGCAGGGCCCGCTCGTCCAGGGGGCGGTGCTTGCTCTGGATCCTGTGGCGGGGGCGTCTCTGCAGGCCAGGGTCCTGGGCGCCCGTGAAGATGGAGCCATATTCCTGCAGGCGCTCTGGAGCAGGGTACTTGGCACTGGAGAACACCTGTGGACACAGGGACAAGTCTGAGGGGGCCCCAAGAGGCTCAGAGGGCTAGGATTGCTTGGCAGGAGAGGGTGGAGTTGGAAGCCTGGGCGAGAAGAAAGCTCAAGGTACAGGTGGGCAGCAGGGCAGAGACTGGGCAGCCTCAGAGGCACGGGGAAATGGAGGGACTGCCCAGTAGCCTCAGGACACAGGGGTATGGGGACTACCTTGATGGCCTTCTTGCTGCCCTTGATCTTCTCAATCTTGGCCTGGGCCAAGGAGACCTTCTCTCCAATGGCCTGCACCTGGCTCCGGCTCTGCTCTACCTGCTGGGAGATCCTGCCATGGAGAAGATCACAGAGGCTGGGCTGCTCCCCACCCCCTGCACACCTCCTGCTTCTAACAGCAGAGCTGCCAGGCCAGGCCCTCAGGCAAGGGCTCTGAAGTCAGGGTCACCTACTTGCCAGGGCCGATCTTGGTGCCATCCAGGGGGCCTCTACAAGGATAATCTGACCTGCAGGGTCGAGGAGTTGACGGTGCTGAGTTCCCTGCACTCTCAGTAGGGACAGGCCCTATGCTGCCACCTGTACATGCTATCTGAAGGACAGCCTCCAGGGCACACAGAGGATGGTATTTACACATGCACACATGGCTACTGATGGGGCAAGCACTTCACAACCCCTCATGATCACGTGCAGCAGACAATGTGGCCTCTGCAGAGGGGGAACGGAGACCGGAGGCTGAGACTGGCAAGGCTGGACCTGAGTGTCGTCACCTAAATTCAGACGGGGAACTGCCCCTGCACATAGTGAACGGCTCACTGAGCAAACCCCGAGTCCCGACCACCGCCTCAGTGTGGTCTAGCTCCTCACCTGCTTCCATCCTCCCTGGTGCGGGGTGGGCCCAGTGATATCAGCTGCCTGCTGTTCCCCAGATGTGCCAAGTGCATTCTTGTGTGCTTGCATCTCATGGAACGCCATTTCCCCAGACATCCCTGTGGCTGGCTCCTGATGCCCGAGGCCCAAGTGTCTGATGCTTTAAGGCACATCACCCCACTCATGCTTTTCCATGTTCTTTGGCCGCAGCAAGGCCGCTCTCACTGCAAAGTTAACTCTGATGCGTGTGTAACACAACATCCTCCTCCCAGTCGCCCCTGTAGCTCCCCTACCTCCAAGAGCCCAGCCCTTGCCCACAGGGCCAACACTCCACGTGCAGAGCAGCCTCAGCACTCACTGGGCACGAGTGAGCCTGTGTGGTGCGCAGGGATGAGAAGGCAGAGGCGCGACTGGGGTTCATGAGGAAGGGCAGGAGGAGGGTGTGGGATGGTGGAGGGGTTTGAGAAGGCAGAGGCGCGACTGGGGTTCACGAGGAAAGGGAGGGGGAGGATGTGGGATGGTGGAGGGGCTGCAGACTCTGGGCTAGGGAAAGCTGGGATGTCTCTAAACGTTAGAATGAATGGCCTAGAATCCGACCCAATAAGCCAAAGCCACTTCCACCAACGTTAGAAGGCCTTGGCCCCCAGAGAGCCAATTTCACAATCCAGAAGTCCCCATGCCCTAAAGGGTCTGCCCTGATTACTCCTGGCTCCTTGTGTGCAGGGGGCTCAGGCATGGCAGGGCTGGGAGTACCAGCAGGCACTCAAGCGGCTTAAGTGTTCCATGACAGACTGGTATGAAGGTGGCCACAATTCAGAAAGAAAAAAGAAGAGCACCATCTCCTTCCAGTGAGGAAGCGGGGCCACCACCCAGCGTGTGCTCCATCTTTTCTGGCTGGGGAGAGGCCTTCATCTGCTGTAAAGGGTCCTCCAGCACAAGCTGTCTTAATTGACCCTAGTTCCCAGGGCAGCCTCATTCTGCTTTGGGTGCTGACACGACCTTCGGTAGGTGCATAAGCTCTGCATTCGAGGTCCACAGGGGCAGTGGGAGGGAACTGAGACTGGGGAGGGACAAAGGCTGCTCTGTCCTGGTGCTCCCACAAAGGAGAAGGGCTGATCACTCAAAGTTGCGAACACCAAGCTCAACAATGAGCCCTGGAAAATTTTCTGGAATGGATTATTAAACAGAGAGTCTGTAAGCACTTAGAAAAGGCCGCGGTGAGCCCCAGGGGCCAGCACTGCTCGAAATGTACAGCATTTCTCTTTGTAACAGGATTATTAGCCTGCTGTGCCCGGGGAAAACATGCAGCACCCTAACCCTAACCCTAACCCCTAACCCTAACCCTAACCCTAACCCTAAACCCTAACCCTAACCCTAACCCTAACCCTAACCCTAACCCTAACCCTAACCCTAACCCTAACCCTAACCCTACCCTAACCCTAACCCTAACCCTAACCCTAACCCTAACCCTAACCCTAACCCCAACCCTAACCCCTAACCCCTAACCCCTAACCCTAACCCCTAACCCCTAACCCTAACCCTAACCCTAACCCTAACCCTAACAACCCTAACCCTAACCCTAACCCTAACAACCCTAACCCTAACCCTAACCCTAACCCTAACCCTAACCCGTAACCCTAACCCTAACCCTACCCTAACCCTTAACCCCCAACCCTTAACCCCTAACCCTTAACCCTTAACCCCTAACCGTGACCCTGACCCCGACCCCGACCCCGACCCTGACCCTAACCCTAACCACATGAGCAACGTGGGTGTTATATTTTGGGTATCATGTGTGCATTAGGACTGCTGCATTTGCGTTCCGATGCTGCAACTGGACCCTTTAATGCAGCCCCTCGCCTTAGCTTGGGAGAATCTCGCTGCCCAGGATTCAGAGGGGCTTTTGCTTTCCCGTTTTCCGCACTGAACCGCTCTAACTGGTCTCTGACCTTGATTATTCACGGCTGCAACCGGGAAAGATTTTATTCACCGTTGATGCGCCCCGAGTTGTCCCAAAGCCACGCAGTGGCCCCAACGTCTGTGCTTAGGGGAATGCTGCTCCACCTTTACGGTGACCCCCAGGTCTGTGCTGAGCAGAACGCAGCTCCGCCCTCGCGGTACCCTCAGCCCGCCCGCCCGGGTCTGACCTGAGGAGAATTCTGCTCCGCCTTCGCAGTACCACCGAAATCTGTGCAGAGGACAACGCAGCTCCGCCCTCGCGGTGCTCTCCGGGTCTGTGCTGAGGAGAACGGAACTCCGCCGTCGCAAAGGCGCGCCGCGCCGGCGCAGGCGCAGAGAGGCGCGCCGCGCCGGCGCAGGCGCAGAGAGGCGCGCCGCGCCGGCGCAGGCGCAGACACATGCTAGCGCGTCCGGGGTGGAGGCGTGGCGCAGGCGCAGAGAGGCGCGCCGCGCCGGCGCAGGCGCAGAGACACATGCTACCGCGTCCAGGGGTGGAGGCGTGGCGCAGGCGCAGAGAGGCGCACCGCGCCGGCGCAGGCGCAGAGACACATGCTAGCGCGTCCAGGGGTGGAGGCGTGGCGCAGGCGCAGAGACGCAAGCCTACGGGCGGGGGTTGGGGGGGCGTGTGTTGCAGGAGCAAAGTCGCACGGCGCCGGGCTGGGGCGGGGGGAGGGTGGCGCCGTGCACGCGCAGAAACTCACGTCACGGTGGCGCGGCGCAGAGACGGGTAGAACCTCAGTAATCCGAAAAGCCGGGATCGACCGCCCCTTGCTTGCAGCCGGGCACTACAGGACCCGCTTGCTCACGGTGCTGTGCCAGGGCGCCCCCTGCTGGCGACTAGGGCAACTGCAGGGCTCTCTTGCTTAGAGTGGTGGCCAGCGCCCCCTGCTGGCGCCGGGGCACTGCAGGGCCCTCTTGCTTACTGTATAGTGGTGGCACGCCGCCTGCTGGCAGCTAGGGACATTGCAGGGTCCTCTTGCTCAAGGTGTAGTGGCAGCACGCCCACCTGCTGGCAGCTGGGGACACTGCCGGGCCCTCTTGCTCCAACAGTACTGGCGGATTATAGGGAAACACCCGGAGCATATGCTGTTTGGTCTCAGTAGACTCCTAAATATGGGATTCCTGGGTTTAAAAGTAAAAAATAAATATGTTTAATTTGTGAACTGATTACCATCAGAATTGTACTGTTCTGTATCCCACCAGCAATGTCTAGGAATGCCTGTTTCTCCACAAAGTGTTTACTTTTGGATTTTTGCCAGTCTAACAGGTGAAGCCCTGGAGATTCTTATTAGTGATTTGGGCTGGGGCCTGGCCATGTGTATTTTTTTAAATTTCCACTGATGATTTTGCTGCATGGCCGGTGTTGAGAATGACTGCGCAAATTTGCCGGATTTCCTTTGCTGTTCCTGCATGTAGTTTAAACGAGATTGCCAGCACCGGGTATCATTCACCATTTTTCTTTTCGTTAACTTGCCGTCAGCCTTTTCTTTGACCTCTTCTTTCTGTTCATGTGTATTTGCTGTCTCTTAGCCCAGACTTCCCGTGTCCTTTCCACCGGGCCTTTGAGAGGTCACAGGGTCTTGATGCTGTGGTCTTCATCTGCAGGTGTCTGACTTCCAGCAACTGCTGGCCTGTGCCAGGGTGCAAGCTGAGCACTGGAGTGGAGTTTTCCTGTGGAGAGGAGCCATGCCTAGAGTGGGATGGGCCATTGTTCATCTTCTGGCCCCTGTTGTCTGCATGTAACTTAATACCACAACCAGGCATAGGGGAAAGATTGGAGGAAAGATGAGTGAGAGCATCAACTTCTCTCACAACCTAGGCCAGTAAGTAGTGCTTGTGCTCATCTCCTTGGCTGTGATACGTGGCCGGCCCTCGCTCCAGCAGCTGGACCCCTACCTGCCGTCTGCTGCCATCGGAGCCCAAAGCCGGGCTGTGACTGCTCAGACCAGCCGGCTGGAGGGAGGGGCTCAGCAGGTCTGGCTTTGGCCCTGGGAGAGCAGGTGGAAGATCAGGCAGGCCATCGCTGCCACAGAACCCAGTGGATTGGCCTAGGTGGGATCTCTGAGCTCAACAAGCCCTCTCTGGGTGGTAGGTGCAGAGACGGGAGGGGCAGAGCCGCAGGCACAGCCAAGAGGGCTGAAGAAATGGTAGAACGGAGCAGCTGGTGATGTGTGGGCCCACCGGCCCCAGGCTCCTGTCTCCCCCCAGGTGTGTGGTGATGCCAGGCATGCCCTTCCCCAGCATCAGGTCTCCAGAGCTGCAGAAGACGACGGCCGACTTGGATCACACTCTTGTGAGTGTCCCCAGTGTTGCAGAGGTGAGAGGAGAGTAGACAGTGAGTGGGAGTGGCGTCGCCCCTAGGGCTCTACGGGGCCGGCGTCTCCTGTCTCCTGGAGAGGCTTCGATGCCCCTCCACACCCTCTTGATCTTCCCTGTGATGTCATCTGGAGCCCTGCTGCTTGCGGTGGCCTATAAAGCCTCCTAGTCTGGCTCCAAGGCCTGGCAGAGTCTTTCCCAGGGAAAGCTACAAGCAGCAAACAGTCTGCATGGGTCATCCCCTTCACTCCCAGCTCAGAGCCCAGGCCAGGGGCCCCCAAGAAAGGCTCTGGTGGAGAACCTGTGCATGAAGGCTGTCAACCAGTCCATAGGCAAGCCTGGCTGCCTCCAACTGGGTCGACAGACAGGGGCTGGAGAAGGGGAGAAGAGGAAAGTGAGGTTGCCTGCCCTGTCTCCTACCTGAGGCTGAGGAAGGAGAAGGGGATGCACTGTTGGGGAGGCAGCTGTAACTCAAAGCCTTAGCCTCTGTTCCCACGAAGGCAGGGCCATCAGGCACCAAAGGGATTCTGCCAGCATAGTGCTCCTGGACCAGTGATACACCCGGCACCCTGTCCTGGACACGCTGTTGGCCTGGATCTGAGCCCTCGTGGAGGTCAAAGCCACCTTTGGTTCTGCCATTGCTGCTGTGTGGAAGTTCACTCCTGCCTTTTCCTTTCCCTAGAGCCTCCACCACCCCGAGATCACATTTCTCACTGCCTTTTGTCTGCCCAGTTTCACCAGAAGTAGGCCTCTTCCTGACAGGCAGCTGCAGCACTGCCTGGCGCTGTGCCCTTCCTTTGCTCTGCCCGCTGGAGACGGTGTTTGTCATGGGCCTGGTCTGCAGGGATCCTGCTACAAAGGTGAAACCCAGGAGAGTGTGGAGTCCAGAGTGTTGCCAGGACCCAGGCACAGGCATTAGTGCCCGTTGGAGAAAACAGGGGAATCCCGAAGAAATGGTGGGTCCTGGCCATCCGTGAGATCTTCCCAGGGCAGCTCCCCTCTGTGGAATCCAATCTGTCTTCCATCCTGCGTGGCCGAGGGCCAGGCTTCTCACTGGGCCTCTGCAGGAGGCTGCCATTTGTCCTGCCCACCTTCTTAGAAGCGAGACAGAGCAGACCCATCTGCTACTGCCCTTTCTATAATAACTAAAGTTAGCTGCCCTGGACTATTCACCCCCTAGTCTCAATTTAAGAAGATCCCCATGGCCACAGGGCCCCTGCCTGGGGGCTTGTCACCTCCCCCACCTTCTTCCTGAGTCACTCCTGCAGCCTTGCTCCCTAACCTGCCCCACAGCCTTGCCTGGATTTCTATCTCCCTGGCTTGGTGCCAGTTCCTCCAAGTCGATGGCACCTCCCTCCCTCTCAACCACTTGAGCAAACTCCAAGACATCTTCTACCCCAACACCAGCAATTGTGCCAAGGGCCATTAGGCTCTCAGCATGACTATTTTTAGAGACCCCGTGTCTGTCACTGAAACCTTTTTTGTGGGAGACTATTCCTCCCATCTGCAACAGCTGCCCCTGCTGACTGCCCTTCTCTCCTCCCTCTCATCCCAGAGAAACAGGTCAGCTGGGAGCTTCTGCCCCCACTGCCTAGGGACCAACAGGGGCAGGAGGCAGTCACTGACCCCGAGACGTTTGCATCCTGCACAGCTAGAGATCCTTTATTAAAAGCACACTGTTGGTTTCTGCTCAGTTCTTTATTGATTGGTGTGCCGTTTTCTCTGGAAGCCTCTTAAGAGAAGAACACAGTGGCGCAGGCTGGGTGGAGCCGTCCCCCCATGGAGCACAGGCAGACAGAAGTCCCCGCCCCAGCTGTGTGGCCTCAAGCCAGCCTTCCGCTCCTTGAAGCTGGTCTCCACACAGTGCTGGTTCCGTCACCCCCTCCCAAGGAAGTAGGTCTGAGCAGCTTGTCCTGGCTGTGTCCATGTCAGAGCAACGGCCCAAGTCTGGGTCTGGGGGGGAAGGTGTCATGGAGCCCCCTAGGATTCCCAGTCGTCCTCGTCCTCCTCTGCCTGTGGCTGCTGCGGTGGCGGCAGAGGAGGGATGGAGTCTGACACGCGGGCAAAGGCTCCTCCGGGCCCCTCACCAGCCCCAGGTCCTTTCCCAGAGATGCCTGGAGGGAAAAGGCTGAGTGAGGGTGATTGGTGGGAAACCCTGGTTCCCCCAGCCCCCGGAGACTTAAATACAGGAAGAAAAAGGCAGGACAGAATTACAAGGTGCCGGCCCAGGGCGGGCAGCGGCCCTGCCTCCTACCCTTGCGCCTCATGACCAGCTTGTTGAAGAGATCCGACATCAAGTGCCCACCTTGGCTCGTGGCTCTCACTGCAACGGGAAAGCCACAGACTGGGGTGAAGAGTTCAGTCACATGCGACCGGTGACTCCCTGTCCCCACCCCCATGACACTCCCCAGCCCTCCAAGGCCACTGTGTTTCCCAGTTAGCTCAGAGCCTCAGTCGATCCCTGACCCAGCACCGGGCACTGATGAGACAGCGGCTGTTTGAGGAGCCACCTCCCAGCCACCTCGGGGACAGGGCCAGGGTGTGCAGCACCACTGTACGATGGGGAAACTGGCCCAGAGAGGTGAGGCAGCTTGCCTGGGGTCACAGAGCAAGGCAAAAGCAGCGCTGGGTACAAGCTCAAAACCATAGTGCCCAGGGCACTGCCGCTGCAGGCGCAGGCATCACATCACACCAGTGTCTGCGTTCACAGCAGGCATCATCAGTAGCCTCCAGAGGCCTCAGGTCCAGTCTCTAAAAATATCTCAGGAGGCTGCAGTGGCTGACCATTGCCTTGGACCGCTCTTGGCAGTCGAAGAAGATTCTCCTGTCAGTTTGAGCTGGGTGAGCTTAGAGAGGAAAGCTCCACTATGGCTCCCAAACCAGGAAGGAGCCATAGCCCAGGCAGGAGGGCTGAGGACCCTCTGGTGGCGGCCCAGGGCTTCCAGCATGTGCCCTAGGGGAAGCAGGGGCCAGCTGGCAAGAGCAGGGGGTGGGCAGAAAGCACCCGGTGGACTCAGGGCTGGAGGGGAGGAGGCGATCTTGCCCAAGGCCCTCCGACTGCAAGCTCCAGGGCCCGCTCACCTTGCTCCTGCTCCTTCTGCTGCTTCTTCTCCAGCTTTCGCTCCTTCATGCTGCGCAGCTTGGCCTTGCCGATGCCCCCAGCTTGGCGGATGGACTCTAGCAGAGTGGCCCGGCCACCGGAGGGGTCAACCACTTCCCTGGGAGCTCCCTGGACTGGAGCCAGGAGGTGGGGAACAGGGCAAGGAGGAAAGGCTGCTCAGGCAGGGCTGGGGAAGCTTACTGTGTCCAAGAGCCTGCTGGGAGGGAAGTCACCTCCCCTCAAACGAGGAGCCCTGCGCTGGGGAGGCCGGACCTTTGGAGACGGTGTGTGGGGGCCTGGGCACTGACTTCTGCAACCACCTGAGCGCGGGCATCCTGTGTGCAGATACTCCCTGCTTCCTCTCTAGCCCCCACCCTGCAGAGCTGGACCCCTGAGCTAGCCATGCTCTGACAGTCTCAGTTGCACACATGAGCCAGCAGAGGGGTTTTGTGCCACTTCTGGATGCTAGGGTTACACTGGGAGATACAGCAGTGAAGCTGAAATGAAAAATGTGTTGCTGTAGTTTGTTATTAGACCCCTTCTTTCCATTGGTTTAATTAGGAATGGGGAACCCAGAGCCTCACTTGTTCAGGCTCCCTCTGCCCTAGAAGTGAGAAGTCCAGAGCTCTACAGTTTGAAAGCCACTATTTTATGAACCAAGTAGAACAAGATATTTGAAATGGAAACTATTCAAAAAATTGAGAATTTCTGACCACTTAACAAACCCACAGAAAATCCACCCGAGTGCACTGAGCACGCCAGAAATCAGGTGGCCTCAAAGAGCTGCTCCCACCTGAAGGAGACGCGCTGCTGCTGCTGTCGTCCTGCCTGGCGCCTTGGCCTACAGGGGCCGCGGTTGAGGGTGGGAGTGGGGGTGCACTGGCCAGCACCTCAGGAGCTGGGGGTGGTGGTGGGGGCGGTGGGGGTGGTGTTAGTACCCCATCTTGTAGGTCTGAAACACAAAGTGTGGGGTGTCTAGGAAAGAAGGTGTGTGACCAGGGAGGTCCCCGGCCCAGCTCCCATCCCAGAACCCAGCTCACCTACCTTGAGAGGCTCGGCTACCTCAGTGTGGAAGGTGGGCAGTTCTGGAATGGTGCCAGGGGCAGAGGGGGCAATGCCGGGGCCCAGGTCAGCAATGTACATGAGGTCGTTGGTAATGCCGGGCAGGTCAGGCAGGTAGGATGGAACATCAATCTCAGGCACCTGGCCCAGGTCTGGCACATAGAAGTAGTTCTCTGGGACCTGCAAGATTAGGCAGGGACATGTGAGAGGTGACAGGGACCTGCAGGGGCAGCCAACAAGACCTTGTGTGCACCTCCCATGGGTGGAATAAGGGGCCCAACAGCCTTGACTGGAGAGGAGCTCTGGCAAGGCCCTGGGTCACTGCACCTGTCTCCACCTCTGTCCCACCCCTCCCACCTGCTGTTCCAGCTGCTCTCTCTTGCTGATGGACAAGGGGGCATCAAACAGCTTCTCCTCTGTCTCTGCCCCCAGCATCACATGGGTCTTTGTTACAGCACCAGCCAGGGGGTCCAGGAAGACATACTTCTTCTACCTACAGAGGCGACATGGGGGTCAGGCAAGCTGACACCCGCTGTCCTGAGCCCATGTTCCTCTCCCACATCATCAGGGGCACAGCGTGCACTGTGGGGTCCCAGGCCTCCCGAGCCGAGCCACCCCAGTCACCCCCTGGCTCCTGGCCTATGTGCTGTACCTGTGTCTGATGCCCTGGGTCCCCACTAAGCCAGGCCGGGCCTCCCGCCCACACCCCTCGGCCCTGCCCTCTGGCCATACAGGTTCTCGGTGGTGTTGAAGAGCAGCAAGGAGCTGACAGAGCTGATGTTGCTGGGAAGACCCCCAAGTCCCTCTTCTGCATCGTCCTCGGGCTCCGGCTTGGTGCTCACGCACACAGGAAAGTCAGCTTCTCCTGGGAGGGCCAGGATGGCCAACGGATGGTGAATATTTGGTGCTGGGCCTAATCAGCTGCCATCCCATCCCAGTCAGCCTCCTCTGGGGGACAGAACCCTATGGTGGCCCCGGCTCCTCCCCAGTATCCAGTCCTCCTGGTGTGTGACAGGCTATATGCGCGGCCAGCAGACCTGCAGGGCCCGCTCGTCCAGGGGGCGGTGCTTGCTCTGGATCCTGTGGCGGGGGCGTCTCTGCAGGCCAGGGTCCTGGGCGCCCGTGAAGATGGAGCCATATTCCTGCAGGCGCTCTGGAGCAGGGTACTTGGCACTGGAGAACACCTGTGGACACAGGGACAAGTCTGAGGGGGCCCCAAGAGGCTCAGAGGGCTAGGATTGCTTGGCAGGAGAGGGTGGAGTTGGAAGCCTGGGCGAGAAGAAAGCTCAAGGTACAGGTGGGCAGCAGGGCAGAGACTGGGCAGCCTCAGAGGCACGGGGAAATGGAGGGACTGCCCAGTAGCCTCAGGACACAGGGGTATGGGGACTACCTTGATGGCCTTCTTGCTGCCCTTGATCTTCTCAATCTTGGCCTGGGCCAAGGAGACCTTCTCTCCAATGGCCTGCACCTGGCTCCGGCTCTGCTCTACCTGCTGGGAGATCCTGCCATGGAGAAGATCACAGAGGCTGGGCTGCTCCCCACCCCCTGCACACCTCCTGCTTCTAACAGCAGAGCTGCCAGGCCAGGCCCTCAGGCAAGGGCTCTGAAGTCAGGGTCACCTACTTGCCAGGGCCGATCTTGGTGCCATCCAGGGGGCCTCTACAAGGATAATCTGACCTGCAGGGTCGAGGAGTTGACGGTGCTGAGTTCCCTGCACTCTCAGTAGGGACAGGCCCTATGCTGCCACCTGTACATGCTATCTGAAGGACAGCCTCCAGGGCACACAGAGGATGGTATTTACACATGCACACATGGCTACTGATGGGGCAAGCACTTCACAACCCCTCATGATCACGTGCAGCAGACAATGTGGCCTCTGCAGAGGGGGAACGGAGACCGGAGGCTGAGACTGGCAAGGCTGGACCTGAGTGTCGTCACCTAAATTCAGACGGGGAACTGCCCCTGCACATAGTGAACGGCTCACTGAGCAAACCCCGAGTCCCGACCACCGCCTCAGTGTGGTCTAGCTCCTCACCTGCTTCCATCCTCCCTGGTGCGGGGTGGGCCCAGTGATATCAGCTGCCTGCTGTTCCCCAGATGTGCCAAGTGCATTCTTGTGTGCTTGCATCTCATGGAACGCCATTTCCCCAGACATCCCTGTGGCTGGCTCCTGATGCCCGAGGCCCAAGTGTCTGATGCTTTAAGGCACATCACCCCACTCATGCTTTTCCATGTTCTTTGGCCGCAGCAAGGCCGCTCTCACTGCAAAGTTAACTCTGATGCGTGTGTAACACAACATCCTCCTCCCAGTCGCCCCTGTAGCTCCCCTACCTCCAAGAGCCCAGCCCTTGCCCACAGGGCCAACACTCCACGTGCAGAGCAGCCTCAGCACTCACTGGGCACGAGTGAGCCTGTGTGGTGCGCAGGGATGAGAAGGCAGAGGCGCGACTGGGGTTCATGAGGAAGGGCAGGAGGAGGGTGTGGGATGGTGGAGGGGTTTGAGAAGGCAGAGGCGCGACTGGGGTTCACGAGGAAAGGGAGGGGGAGGATGTGGGATGGTGGAGGGGCTGCAGACTCTGGGCTAGGGAAAGCTGGGATGTCTCTAAACGTTAGAATGAATGGCCTAGAATCCGACCCAATAAGCCAAAGCCACTTCCACCAACGTTAGAAGGCCTTGGCCCCCAGAGAGCCAATTTCACAATCCAGAAGTCCCCATGCCCTAAAGGGTCTGCCCTGATTACTCCTGGCTCCTTGTGTGCAGGGGGCTCAGGCATGGCAGGGCTGGGAGTACCAGCAGGCACTCAAGCGGCTTAAGTGTTCCATGACAGACTGGTATGAAGGTGGCCACAATTCAGAAAGAAAAAAGAAGAGCACCATCTCCTTCCAGTGAGGAAGCGGGGCCACCACCCAGCGTGTGCTCCATCTTTTCTGGCTGGGGAGAGGCCTTCATCTGCTGTAAAGGGTCCTCCAGCACAAGCTGTCTTAATTGACCCTAGTTCCCAGGGCAGCCTCATTCTGCTTTGGGTGCTGACACGACCTTCGGTAGGTGCATAAGCTCTGCATTCGAGGTCCACAGGGGCAGTGGGAGGGAACTGAGACTGGGGAGGGACAAAGGCTGCTCTGTCCTGGTGCTCCCACAAAGGAGAAGGGCTGATCACTCAAAGTTGCGAACACCAAGCTCAACAATGAGCCCTGGAAAATTTCTGGAATGGATTATTAAACAGAGAGTCTGTAAGCACTTAGAAAAGGCCGCGGTGAGCCCCAGGGGCCAGCACTGCTCGAAATGTACAGCATTTCTCTTTGTAACAGGATTATTAGCCTGCTGTGCCCGGGGAAAACATGCAGCACAGTGCATCTCAAGTCAGCAGGATTTTGACGGCTTCTAACAAAATCTTGTAGACAAGATGGAGCTATGGGGGTTGGAGGAGAGAACATATAGGAAAAATCAGAGCCAAATGAACCACAGCCCCAAAGGGCACAGTTGAACAATGGACTGATTCCAGCCTTGCACGGAGGGATCTGGCAGAGTCCATCCAGTTCATTCAACACCTGGTTAGAAAACTGGGGCCAGCACACAGGGGAAGGGTAAGCTGGTTTCATGATTGAATCAAGGCTCAGACAATTTTTAAAGGCCAGAGGGTAGACTGCAATCACCAAGATGAAATTTACAAGGAACAAATGTGAAGCCCAACATTTAGGTTTTAAAAATCAAGCATATAAATACAGAAGGTGGAGGGAACTTGCTTTAGACACAGTTCAGGTGAAGAAAGACCCGGAAACTTCTGTTAACTATAAGCTCAGTAGGGGCTAAAAGCATGTTAATCGGCATAAAAAGGCAATGAGATCTTAGGGCACACAGCTCCCCGCCCCTCTTCTGCCCTTCATCCTTCTTTCAATCAGCAGGGACCGTGCACTCTCTTGGAGCCACCACAGAAAACAGAGGTGCATCCAGCACCACAGAAAACAGAGCCACCACAGAAAACAGAGGGTGACTGTCATCCCCTCCAGTCTCTGCACACTCCCAGCTGCAGCAGAGCAGGAGGAGAGAGCACAGCCTGCAATGCTAATTTGCCAGGAGCTCACCTGCCTGCGTCACTGGGCACAGACGCCAGTGAGGCCAGAGGCCGGGCTGTGCTGGGGCCTGAGCTGGGTGGTGGGGAGAGAGTCTCTCCCCTGCCCCTGTCTCTTCCATGCAGGAGGAGCATGTTTAAGGGGACGGGTTCAAAGCTGGTCACATCCCCACCGAAAAAGCCCATGGACAACGAAAAGCCCACTAGCTTGTCCAGTGCCACAGGAGGGGCAAGTGGAGGAGGAGAGGTGGCGGTGCTCCCCACTCCACTGCCAGTCGTCACTGGCTCTCCCTTCCCTTCATCCTCGTTCCCTATCTGTCACCATTTCCTGTTGTCGTTTCCTCTGAATGTCTCACCCTGCCCTCCCTGCTTGCAAGTCCCCTGTCTGTAGCCTCACCCCTGTCGTATCCTGACTACAATAACAGCTTCTGGGTGTCCCTGGCATCCACTCTCTCTCCCTTCTTGTCCCTTCCGTGACGGATGCCTGAGGAACCTTCCCCAAACTCTTCTGTCCCATCCCTGCCCTGCTCAAAATCCAATCACAGCTCCCTAACACGCCTGAATCAACTTGAAGTCCTGTCTTGAGTAATCCGTGGGCCCTAACTCACTCATCCCAACTCTTCACTCACTGCCTTGCCCCACACCCTGCCAGGGAGCCTCCCGTGGCACCGTGGGGACACAAAGGAACCAGGGCAAAGCTCCCTCAGCCCCATTCAAAGAGGCCTGGCCCACAGGCTCACGGAAAGTCAGCCTCTCATGCCCCGAGAGCTGAGTGCAAGGGAGAGGCAGCGCTGTCTGTGCTTCCCATGCAGAAGCACCCCCCTCCCACCCCTGTGCAGGCCGGCCTTCGCGGCAGACCACCATACACCACGTTCCAAGCCACACTGAGGCCTCCCTCCAAGCCTGCAGCCCCCATTTCCAGACCCTGCCAGGGCAACCTGCATATCCACCTCCCTACCCTGCCCCCCTCTTCCAGGAGTCTGCCCTATGTGGAGTAAGCACGTGGTTTTCCTCTTCAGCAACTATTTCCTTTTTACTCAAGCAATGGCCCCATTTCCCTTGGGGAATCCATCTCTCTCGCAGGCTTAGTCCCAGAGCTTCAGGTGGGGCTGCCCACAGAGCTCCTCAGTCTAAGCCAAGTGGTGTGTCATAGTCCCCTGGCCCCATTAATGGATTCTGGGATAGACATGAGGACCAAGCCAGGTGGGATGGGTGAGTGTGGCTTCTGGAGGAAGTGGGGACACAGGACAGCATTCTTTCCTGCTGGACCTGACCCTGTGTCATGTCACCTTGCTACCACGAGAGCATGGCCTGTCTGGGAATGCAGCCAGACCCAAAGAAGCAAACTGACATGGAAGGAAAGCAAAACCAGGCCCTGAGGACATCATTTTAGCCCTTACTCCGAAGGCTGCTCTACTGATTGGTTAATTTATGCTTAGCTTGGTCTGGGGAGTTCTGACAGGCGTGCCACCAATTCTTACCGATTTCTCTCCACTCTAGACCCTGAGAAGCCCACGCGGTTCATGCTAGCAATTAACAATCAATCTCGCCCTATGTGTTCCCATTCCAGCCTCTAGGACACAGTGGCAGCCACATAATTGGTATCTCTTAAGGTCCAGCACGAGGTGGAGCACATGGTGGAGAGACAGATGCAGTGACCTGGAACCCAGGAGTGAGGGAGCCAGGACTCAGGCCCAAGGCTCCTGAGAGGCATCTGGCCCTCCCTGCGCTGTGCCAGCAGCTTGGAGAACCCACACTCAATGAACACAGCACTCCACTACCCAGGAAATGCCTTCCTGCCCTCTCCTCATCCCATCCCTGGGCAGGGGACATGCAACTGTCTACAAGGTGCCAAGTACCAGGACAGGAAAGGAAAGACGCCAAAAATCCAGCGCTGCCCTCAGAGAAGGGCAACCACGCAGTCCCCATCTTGGCAAGGAAACACAATTTCCGAGGGAATGGTTTTGGCCTCCATTCTAAGTGCTGGACATGGGGTGGCCATAATCTGGAGCTGATGGCTCTTAAAGACCTGCATCCTCTTCCCTAGGTGTCCCTCGGGCACATTTAGCACAAAGATAAGCACAAAAGGTGCATCCAGCACTTTGTTACTATTGGTGGCAGGTTCATGAATGGCAACCAAAGGCAGTGTACGGGTCAAGATTATCAACAGGGAAGAGATAGCATTTCCTGAAGGCTTCCTAGGTGCCAAGCACTGTTCCATTCCTTTTCATGTTTTGATTAATTTAATATTTACAATAATTCTACCAGGAAGCTACCATTATTACCACAACTTCACAAATGAGAACACCGAGGCTTAGAGGGGTTGGGTTGCCCAAGGTTACAGAGGAAGAAAACAGGGGAGCTGGATCTGAGCCAAGGCATCAACTCCAAGGTAACCCCTCAGTCACTTCAGTGTGTGTCCCCTGGTTACTGGGACATTCTTGACAAGCTCGGGGCAAGCCGGTGAGTCAGTGGGGGAGGACTTTCAGGAAGAGGTGGGTTCCCAGTTGGTGACAGAAGAGGAGGCTGCAAAGTGAAGGAGCAGGGGCTCCAGGTCTGGCGACAACCAGGGAAGGGACAGGGCAGGGATGGCTTGGACCACGAGAGGCACCTGAGTCAGGCAGTCACATACTTCCCACTGGGGTCTACCATGTGAGGCATGGTGTGGGATCCTGGGAAGGAGACCAAGCCTCATTTCAGTTTGCTTATGGCCAAAGACAGGACCTGTGTACCCGACAACCCCTGGGACCTTTACCAAAAAAACAGCAAACACCATTCACTCACTCATGTTAGATAAACACTGAGTGAAGTCACTGGAGCCCAAGGACTGTGCGAGGTCAGCACTGCCAATACAAGAAGCTGCAGCCCTCCAGCTCGCCTCCCTCAATGGCCACTCCGTGCTCCAGCCATGCTGGCTTCCTTTTAGGTCCTCCACCTCCAGGCTGTAGTTCATGTGCTTCTTTCTGGAATGTTCTTCCCAACCTACCCACTCAACCCTCAGACTTTACCATAAATGTCATTTCCTCACATCTGCCTTCCCTGACCTGAGACCAAGCCAGGCTTCCCATGACGAGCCTCACAGTACCCCATCTCCCCTGAACAGATGCAGTAATAACCTACATAACCCGGGGCCATGATCTATGGCTTTGAATCCTGGCTCTGTCACTAGGCCAGGTCTCTCAGCCTTTCTGTGCCTCAGTTTCCTCATCTATAAAATGAGATGACGGCAGTGCCTGCTCATGAAGTGTGAGTTAATGCACTCAAATCAATGGTTGTGCACGGTTTATATGAATATTAGTGATTACAAAATATTATCAATAGACCTTGTCACAACTGTTATTGAAGAACTAATCATCTATTGCTTATTTAGGTCTTTCTCTCCTGCCAGAATGTGCGCTCCAGGTGGAGAGGTATGTTGCCTTATCCGTGGCTGGATATATAGAGATTCCCACACTGCCTTGCACACGAGCACTGCTGGGTAAATATTTGTTGGCTGCAGGAAAACGTGAAGGAATAGGCCCTCCAATGGGAGGAAAAGCATGAGTTGTGAGAGCAGAGCCACCACAGGAAACCAGGAGGCTAAGTGGGGTGGAAGGGAGTGAGCTCTCGGACTCCCAGGAGTAAAAGCTTCCAAGTTGGGCTCTCACTTCAGCCCCTCCCACACAGGGAAGCCAGATGGGTTCCCCAGGACCGGGATTCCCCAAGGGGGCTGCTCCCAGAGGGTGTGTTGCTGGGATTGCCCAGGACAGGGATGGCCCTCTCATCAGGTGGGGGTGGGTGGCAGCACCCACCTGCTGAAGATGTCTCCAGAGACCTTCTGCAGGTACTGCAGGGCATCCGCCATCTGCTGGACGGCCTCCTCTCGCCGCAGGTCTGGCTGGATGAGGGGCACGGCATAGGTCTGACCTGCCAGGGAGTGCTGCATCCTCACAGGAGTCATGGTGCCTGTGGGTGGGAGCCGGAGCATCACAGCCACCCACGACCACCTGCACCCACCCACCACAGGGCAGGGTGGTGTTGAGACAACACAGCCCTCATCCCAACTATGCACATAGCTTCAGCCTGCACAGATAGGGGAGTAGGGGACAGAGCATTTGGTGAGAGGCCAGGAGCGCATAGATGGGACTCTGCTGATGCCTGCTGAGTGAATGAGGGAAAGGGCAGGGCCCGGGACTGGGGAATCTGTAGGGTCAATGGAGGAGTTCAGAGAAGGTGCAACATTTCTGACCCCCTACAAGGTGCTTGCTACCTGCCAGGCACCCTTTCCATACCTTGTCTCAGTTCAGCTCCCCACCTTGGATAAACAAGAAACCTTGGTTGCAGAGGAAAAAAGAGGCTGGAAACAAAGGGGTAGAAATGGGGTAGCGGGGGAGATTGGGTGATCAACTGCCAAATGGTACCCAGTTCTGGAAAAGCACAAAAAATGTGCACACACGGGTTCTTCCCACTTTAACCCCTGAGGAATCTGAGGCCTGCTCCTGAAACAGACTGGGCAAGTGGCTAGTGACTCTAGGTATAGGAGTAGCCAGCCCTGCTCACCCAGGCTAGAGCTTAGGGGGACAAGAGGAAAGAGGTGCCTGTGGGGGTGGAGGACAGGAAGGAAAAACACTCCTGGAATTGCAAAGTGAGGGCAGAGTCTATTTATATTGGGTTTAATTAACTCCTCTCCCTGGTGCCACTAAAGCAGCAATCACACTGCAGACAGCACTGATTTGATTGGCAAGAGATGCACCAGGCAGAATATTAAGGGACCAGGCCCCTATAAATAGGCCTAATCACAGCCCCTCGCTGGAAAATGGTAAGGAAGACATTAATCAGGCCTGGCACTGTGCCCTAGACCTGCTCCCCTAGGCACTACAGTGGGGCCCTTGGTTGCAACACAAGTAGGTAGGGATGGATGAGTGTGGCATGAAGGGCCTAGGAGATTTCATTTGGGTTTAAAATGCTGTGACCTTGAGTAAGTTGCCGTCTCTGAATCTGATCCTTTCGATTTCCCATTCTCCAAACTGAGAACTAGCACTGCTGAGACGTGGTTATTCCCAATAATAATTTGTATATTTTACATAACGCACCACACCAACATCTTCACCCAGTAGGAGCCTACTCCTTTGCTCCCGCTGCTGGCTTCCCCAGCCCTCCCTTCTGCCCTCCTCAGGCCAGCACTTTTCAGTGAGTTCCTCCTTTGCATACAGGCTTTCCAGATCTGTACTTGCCTTGAATACTCATCAGAGCCCAGGAGTTACTCCTCACCTCCCACTTATTTTTCCTCCCATCAAATAACTAAAGCATGGCCAGCTGATGCCCAGCCAACTGAGAAACCTAACCCTCTGAGACCAGCACACCCCTTTCAAGCATGTTCCTCCCTCCCCTTCTTTGTATTTATACTGATGCAAGTTTGCTGGCTGTCCTAACTTATTTCTGTGCCTCAGTTCTCCCATATGTAAGATCACAAAGGGGGTAAAGATGCAAGATATTTCCTGTGCACATCTTCAGATGAATTTCTTGTTAGTGTGTGTGTGTTTGCTCACACATATGCGTGAAAGAATAGTACATACACAGATCTCCTCAAAAAGGAGGCAGCAAGCCCGTTCAAGAATGGGACTGAATACACCTGATGAGTGGTTTACTTTCTGTCTGCAAACATCTACTGATCATCTGTTAGGTGCAGGCCATGATCACAACAAAGACGAATAAGACACTACACTAGCCAGGGAGAGTCTCAAAAACAACTAAACTCAAATTAAATTCATTCTACTCCAGTCATGAGTACAAAGCTAAGGAGTGACAAATCCCTCTTGGAGTTAGGGGAGTCAGGAAAAAGCTCTTAGCAGAATGTGTGCCTCTCGGCCGGGCGCAGCGGCTCACGCCTGTAATCCCAGCACTTTGGGAGGCGAAGGCAGGCAGATCACCTGAGGTCGGGAGTTCGAGACCAGTCTGACCAACATGGTGAAACTCCATCTCTACTAAAAATACAAAATTAGCCAGGCGTGGTGGTGCATGCCTGTAATCCCCGCTACTCGGGAGGCTGAGGAAGGAGAATCACTTGAACCGGGAAGGTGGAGGTTGCAGTGTGCCAAGATCGCGCCATGGCACTCCAGCCTAGGCAACAAGGGTGAACCAGGTCCAGGAAGAAGGTGCAAAGACAGCATTCCAGGTAAAAGAAACAGCTTGAACAAAAAGTGTGTAAGGGAACCGCAAGCGGTCTTGAGTGCTGAGGGTACAATCATCCTTGGGGAAGTACTAGAAGAAAGAATGATAAACAGAGGCCAGTTTGTTAAAAACACTCAAAATTAAAGCTAGGAGTTTGGACTTGTGGCAGGAATGAAATCCTTAGACCTGTGCTGTCCAATATGGTAGCCACCAGGCACATGCAGCCACTGAGCACTTGAAATGTGGATAGTCTGAATTGAGATGTGCCATAAGTGTAAAATATGCACCAAATTTCAAAGGCTAGAAAAAAAGAATGTAAAATATCTTATTATTTTATATTGATTACATGCTAAAATAACCATATTTGGGATATACTGGATTTTAAAAATATATCACTAATTTCATCTGTTTCTTTTTACTTTTAGAAATCACATATGTGACTTAAATATTTCTTTTCTTTTTCTTTCCTCTCACTCAGCGTCCTGTGATTCCAAAGAAATGAGTCTCTGCTGTTTTTGGGCAGCAGATATCCTAGAATGGACTCTGACCTAAGCATCAAAATTAATCATCATAACGTTATCATTTTATGGCCCCTTCTTCCTATATCTGGTAGCTTTTAAATGATGACCATGTAGATAATCTTTATTGTCCCTCTTTCAGCAGACGGTATTTTCTTATGCTACAGTATGACTGCTAATAATACCTACACATGTTAGAACCATTCTGACTCCTCAAGAATCTCATTTAACTCTTATTATCAGTGAATTTATCATCATCCCCAATTTTACATAAGGAAATGGGGTTAGAAAGACCAAATAACATTTTTTCAACATCAAAACACTAGCTTGAGATCAAGCCCAGACTTGGATCTGTTGTCTGAATTCCAAGCTTTTTGTTATTTATTGATATGTTTTGTTGTTTTCATGCAATAATGCAAATCTTAGCCCAAACATTTTGTTAGTAGTACCAACTGTAAGTCACCTTATCTTCATATTTTGTCTTTATGTAAACCTAAATTAGATCTGTTTTTGATACTGAGGGAAAAACAAGGGAATCTAACACTAACCAGCCCGTAGTGTATGGTCAACACTTTCGTTACTTTAGTATACATCACCCCAATTGTTTGTCTTCACCACACACTTTGGAGTTAGGTAGTAGTATCTATTTTTACAAATAAGAAAACCCAGGCACAAAGGGGTTGATTAGCAATTATCTTTTGAAAAGCCTGTAGTTGCTCATCTGAAGAAGTGACGGACCACCTCTTATTTAGTGGACAGACAGTAACTAGTTGAGAAGACAGGGGATTTTGTTGGCGGAAAAAAAATTTTATCAAAAGTCGTCTTCTATCAGGGAGTTTTATGAGAAACCCTAGCTCCTCAGTTCCACAGTGGGTAGCTGTAATTCATTCTAGGTCTGCGATATTTCCTGCCTATCCATTTTGTTAACTCTTCAATGCATTCCACAAATACCTAAGTATTCTTTAATAATGGTGGGTTTTTTTTTTTTGCATCTATGAAGTTTTTTCAAATTCTTTTTAAGTGACAAAACTTGTACATGTGTATCGCTCAATATTTCTAGTCGACAGCACTACTTTCGAGAATGTAAACCGTGCACTCCCAGGAAAATGCAGACACAGCACGCCTCTTTGGGACCGCGGTTTATACTTTCGAAGTGCTCGGAGCCCTTCCTCCAGACCGTTCTCCCACACCCCGCTCCAGGGTCTCTCCCGGAGTTACAGGCCTCGCTGTAGGCCCCGGGAACCCAACGCGGTGTCAGAGAAGTGGGGTCCCCTACGAGGGACCAGGAGCTCCGGGCGGGCAGCAGCTGCGGAAGAGCCGCGCGAGGCTTCCCAGAACCCGGCCGGGGCGGGAAGACGCAGGAGTGGGGAGGTGGAACCGGGACCCCGCAGAGCCCGGGTCCCTGCGCCCCACAAGCCTTGGCTTCCCTGCTAGGGCCGGGCAAGGCCGGGTGCAGGGCGCGGCTCCAGGGAGGAAGCTCCGGGGCGAGCCCAAGACGCCTCCCGGGCGGTCGGGGCCCAGCGGCGGCGTTCGCAGTGGAGCCGGGCACCGGGCAGCGGCCGCGGAACACCAGCTTGGCGCAGGCTTCTCGGTCAGGAACGGTCCCGGGCCTCCCGCCCGCCTCCCTCCAGCCCCTCCGGGTCCCCTACTTCGCCCCGCCAGGCCCCCACGACCCTACTTCCCGCGGCCCCGGACGCCTCCTCACCTGCGAGCCGCCCTCCCGGAAGCTCCCGCCGCCGCTTCCGCTCTGCCGGAGCCGCTGGGTCCTAGCCCCGCCGCCCACAGTCCGCCCGCGCCTCCGGGTCCTAACGCCGCCGCTCGCCCTCCGCTGCGCCCTCCCCGAGCGCGGCTCCAGGACCCCGTCGACCCGGAGCGCTGTCCTCGTGGACCGAGTCGCGGGCCTGGGCACGGAACTCACGCTCACTCCCAGCTCCCGACGTGCACACGGCTCCCATCCGTTGTCTTCCGAGCGTCAGGCCGCCCCTACCCGTGCTTTCTGCTCTGCAGACCCTCTTCCTAGACCTCCGTCCTTTGTCCCATCGCTGCCTTCCCCTCAAGCTCAGGGCCAAGCTGTCCGCCAACCTCGGCTCCTCCGGGCAGCCCTCGCCCGGGGTGCGCCCCGGGGCAGGACCCCCAGCCCACGCCCAGGGCCCGCCCCTGCCCTCCAGCCCTACGCCTTGACCCGCTTTCCTGCGTCTCTCAGCCTACCTGACCTTGTCTTTACCTCTGTGGGCAGCTCCCTTGTGATCTGCTTAGTTCCCACCCCCCTTTAAGAATTCAATAGAGAAGCCAGACGCAAAACTACAGATATCGTATGAGTCCAGTTTTGTGAAGTGCCTAGAATAGTCAAAATTCACAGAGACAGAAGCAGTGGTCGCCAGGAATGGGGAAGCAAGGCGGAGTTGGGCAGCTCGTGTTCAATGGGTAGAGTTTCAGGCTGGGGTGATGGAAGGGTGCTGGAAATGAGTGGTAGTGATGGCGGCACAACAGTGTGAATCTACTTAATCCCACTGAACTGTATGCTGAAAAATGGTTTAGACGGTGAATTTTAGGTTATGTATGTTTTACCACAATTTTTAAAAAGCTAGTGAAAAGCTGGTAAAAAGAAAGAAAAGAGGCTTTTTTAAAAAGTTAAATATATAAAAAGAGCATCATCAGTCCAAAGTCCAGCAGTTGTCCCTCCTGGAATCCGTTGGCTTGCCTCCGGCATTTTTGGCCCTTGCCTTTTAGGGTTGCCAGATTAAAAGACAGGATGCCCAGCTAGTTTGAATTTTAGATAAACAACGAATAATTTCGTAGCATAAATATGTCCCAAGCTTAGTTTGGGACATACTTATGCTAAAAAACATTATTGGTTGTTTATCTGAGATTCAGAATTAAGCATTTTATATTTTATTTGCTGCCTCTGGCCACCCTACTCTCTTCCTAACACTCTCTCCCTCTCCCAGTTTTGTCCGCCTTCCCTGCCTCCTCTTCTGGGGGAGTTAGATCGAGTTGTAACAAGAACATGCCACTGTCTCGCTGGCTGCAGCGTGTGGTCCCCTTACCAGAGGTAAAGAAGAGATGGATCTCCACTCATGTTGTAGACAGAATGTTTATGTCCTCTCCAAATGCTTATGTTGAAACCCTAACCCCTAATGTGATGGTATGTGGAGATGGGCCTTTGGTAGGTAATTACGGTTAGATGAGGTCATGGGGTGGGGCCCTCATTATAGATCTGGTAAGAAAAGAGAGCATTGTCTCTGTGTCTCCCTCTCTCTCTCTCTCTCTCTCTCTCTCTCATTTCTCTCTATCTCATTTCTCTCTCTCTCTCTATCTCATTTTTCTCTCTCTCTCTTTCTCTCCTCTGTCTTTTCCCACCAAGTGAGGATGCGAAGAGAAGGTGGCTGTCTGCAAACCAGGAAGAGAGCCCTCACCAGGAACCCGTCCAGCTGCCACCTTGAACTTGGACTTCCAAGCCTCCAGAACTGTGAGGGATAAATGTATGATTTTAAAGTCGCCCAGTGTGTGGTATTTTGTTTTGACTAATACAACCTGAAAACATTTTCCCCTCACTCCACCTGAGCAATATCTGAGTGGCTTAAGGTACTCAGGACACAACAAAGGAGAAATGTCCCATGCACAAGGTGCACCCATGCCTGGGTAAAGCAGCCTGGCACAGAGGGAAGCACACAGGCTCAGGGCTCTGCTATTCATTCTTTGTGTGACCCTGGGCAAGCCATGAATGGAGCTTCAGTCACCCCATTTGTAATGGGATTTAATTGTGCTTGCCCTGCCTCCTTTTGAGGGCTGTAGAGAAAAGATGTCAAAGTATTTTGTAATCTGGCTGGGCGTGGTGGCTCATGCCTGTAATCCTAGCACTTTGGTAGGCTGACGCGAGAGGACTGCTTGAGCCCAAGAGTTTGAGATCAGCCTGGGCAATATTGTGAGATTCCATCTCTACAAAAATAAAATAAAATAGCCAGTCATGGTGTCACACACCTGTAGTCCCAGCTACATGGGAGGCTGAGGCGGGAGGATCACTTGAGCTTGGGAGATCGAGGCTGCAGTGAGCTATGATTGTACCACTGCACTCCAGGCTGGGCGACAGAGAGAGACCCTGTCTCAGAAAAAAAAAAAAGTACTTTGTAATCTGTAAGATTTCAACACACACAAAAAAAGTGTATATGCTCCACGATGCCTGTGAATATACACACACACCACATCATATACCAAGCCTGGCTGTGTCTTCTCACAAATGCACTGCTAGGCACCACCCCCAGTTCTAGAATCACACCAGCCAGTTCACCCTCCAGATGGTTCACCCTCAACTTCATAAAAGTTCCCTACCTAATCTACTGACAGGCTCATCCCCGACCTAATTTTAAAGATTTCCTAGGAGCTGCAATGGGAATCCTGGACCTCAGCCTGGACAAAGAACAGCTGCAGGTCATTCTCATGTGTGGACACGGAAGCTCTGCCTGCCTTTGCTGGCCAGCTGGGCTGAGCGGGCCTGGGAAATTAAGGCTGCAGGGTTGGTCCCAGGCAGTCTTGCTGAAGCTTGCCACATCCCCCAGCCTCCTGGATTTGCCAGGATCCAAGAGCATGGATTTTAGGAATTCCTGGTGGAGGAGTGAAGAAAATGTGACAGGGTGTCCTAAGCCCCGATCTACAGGAAGAAAACTGGAAATAAGACTGAGGACTTAGTTTAAGATGTTCCTACTCAGCCTCTAGCTTTTGTGCTACAGTTCTGGGAACAGACTCCTCTCTCCTGAAAACCACTTCCCTCCGCAGCATTAAATTTCACCAAGATGTCTTGCTTGTGGGAAAGACTTCCAAGGATGCCTGGAGAGAGGAGGATGGAAATGTCCTGCTCTCTAAACAGATAGACAGATGCAGCCAGACAGAAAATAGTTTATCTTGCTGAGGTTTCTAATGTATTTGAAAGAGGCCTGGGTCTAGAAGTCTACCCAGAGGGCTCTGTGTTGTGCACGCAAAGATAAGAACCTTCCCTGTGGGAGTTCCAGAGCCAGTTTTCATAAACACCCATCGGTGACTGTGTTCAGAGTGAATTCACACCATCCTGACCTGCCCTGAGTTAGACCTTACATGGTCTTCCTCCTCTAGGAAGCCTCTGCAGCCCAGGAACCTCCCCTTATCTGAAATGAACAGCATTTGAAGCTTCACCAGACAGACCAGACAGCTTAGCCCTCGTGTTGTGCCATGTGGGTTGTTCTCTGAGAGGCAGGAGAGCATAGTGGTTACTAGGAAGGGAAGGACTTTGGGACTAGACTGCCTCGGCTGGAGTCCTCTTTCTGCTTCATAGCCACGTGATCCTAGGCATGTTACCTGTGCCTCAGTTTTCACTCTGTCAATATGTAATAACTGCATCTGTCTTTGTGGTGAGGATTCAGTGAGTTAACATATTTGAAGTGCTTAAAAATGAGGCTTGTGTCCATAGACTAATGAGTGAATACACAAATGGTGATATGGACATACAGTGGAGTATTAGTCATAAAAAGGAAGGCAGAGCTGATCCATGGCACCATGTGACAGAACCTCAAAAGCATTAGGTTAAGTGGAAGAAGCCAGACACAGGTCACCTATTGTGTAATTCCATTTATAGGAAATATACAGAATATGTAAATCCGTGGAGAAAGAAAGCCGATTTCCAGGGGCTAAGGGGAGGGGAGAATGGGAAGTGGCTGCTTCATGGGTACAAGGTTTCATTTTGAGCTCATGAAAATGTTTTGGAACTACATAGAGATAGTGTTGGCACAACATGGTGAATGTACTGAATGCCACTGATTGTTCACTTTAAAATGGTCAAACTTATATGAATTTCACCTCCATTAAAAAAAAAAAAAAGGACCAGATGTGGTTGCTCACACCCATAATCCCAACACTTTGGAAAAAGGTGAAAGTTTTTTTTCTTTTTTTTTTATATACTTAAGTTCTAGGGTACATGTGCATAATGTGCAGGTTGGATACATAGATATGCGTGTGCCATGTTGGTTTGCTGCACCCATCAACTTGTCATTTACATTAGGTATTTCTTCTAATGCTATCCCTCCCCCAGCCCCCCACCCACTGACAGGCCCCAGTGTATGATGTTCTCTGCCCCATGTCCAAGCGTTCTCATTGTTCAATTCCCACCTGTGAGTGAGAACATGCAGTGTTTGGTTTTCTGTCTTTGTGATAGTTTGCTCAGAATGATGGTTTCCAGCTTCATCCATGTCCCTGCAAAGGACATGAACTCATCCTTTTTAATGGCTGCATAGTATCCCATGGTATATATGTGCCACATTCTCTTAATCCAGTCTGTCATTGATGGACATTTGGGTTGGTTCAAAGTCTTTGCTATTGTGAATACTGCCACAATAAACATACATGTGCATGTGTCTTTATAGTAGCACGATTTATAATCCTTTGGGTATATACCCTAAGACCTGGGACGCATTTAAAGCAGTGTGTAAAGAGACATTTATAGCACTAAATGCCCACAAGAGACCTCTGCCTGAGAACGTGGGTTTCAGCCTAAGAGTTGTAATATGTGTGCCCATTCACAGGTGCTGCATCAGAGTCCCAGGTGGGAAGAAGGCAAGCATACACAAAAATGGTAAAAGGCAGAAAGGAGCCCAGTCTCATTCTTTTTAAGAAGTTTTCCTAAGAATCTCCACCCAGCGACTTGCTCTCACATCTTCTTGGCCAGCACTGGACCACACAACTCCTTCTAGATACAGAGGAGTCCTAGGATTCTATGAGAAAGAAGGGGAGGGTGGGCAAAGGGCAGCCAGCTGTGCAGCATCTGCTGGAGACACCTAACCCTTGGTGGAGGGGTTGTGGTGCTGGGAGAAGGCTTTCTGGACGGTGTGACAGCAGAGATAAACTTAAAGGCCAAGTAGGAGTTACCCTGGTGAAGCAGGGCAGGGTTACAAGCATTCCAGCAACATGAAGCAGCAGGAGTGTTTTAATTAAAAGAAGGCAGTTGCTGTAACCAACTATAAACAAATAAAGGCTTAAACACAATGGAAGTTTATTTCTCACTAAGGGAACATCCAAATCCATGATACTTTAAGTCAGGGACCCAGGTTCCTCCCATCTATGGTTCTGCCATCACTAATCTGGGTCTTCCACAATTGCCGTGCTCCTTGGAGGTGGGAAGAGCAGGCGGAGGACACGTGGGAGGTTTTAGGGACAAGCCTGGAGGCAGCATGCGTCACTCCCATGCAGAGTCCATTGGCCAATGCTGGCTCCGATGGCCACATCTCACTGCAGGGGCAGCTGGGAAATACAGTCTGGCTGTCTACCCAGCAGGAAGAGCAGCCAGTTTCTGCTGCTGATGATCAGGAGGTGGAGAAAATGTTCAGTCAGGCAGGGAGTGGGAACAGACAAGACCACAAGCAGCTTGGTGCCTCTGAAAGGGAGAGGGGTGGAGGGGAGACTAGAGAGGTGGGTAGGAATACTGGATTCCACTGACCACGTGCTGGATGTCACGCTTAGCCCTCCTGCTCTGTGCCGGGTTAGGCACCTTGTGTTTTACGTACATAATCTCAATTCTGTGAGGGCATCCGACCTGTGGGAAAAGAGCTGTTTGTTTCAAATGCCAGTCCTGCTTCCTAACAAGTGTTTAGAGCTTAATCGTGTTCAAAATACATATACAATGTTTAATACTTACAAGAATTTGGTGGGGAAAATATTACCATCTTTCCCTTTTGTGATTGGAGAAAAATGAGGCTTTGAAGGGTTTAAGAACTTGCCCAAGGTCGGCCAGGTGCAGTGGCTCATGTCTATAATCCCAACACTTTGGGAGGCTGAGGTGGGAGGATCGCTTGAGGCCAGGAGTTCAAGACCAGCCTGAGCAACATAGTGAGTCTTTGTCTCTATAAAAAATAAATAAATAAATAAAAAGAACTTGTCCAAGGTCAGACAGGCAGCCTCTTAGTAAGCACACATATCCTCTATATTATACTACCTCTCATGGAGGATCTCCTGTGTTCTACAAATAGTCTGGACTTGAGCCAGAATGTGTTATAATCCTGGGATCACGGCCAGTGGGCTTAGAAGAAGCCATCTCTTTCTCATGCCAAGATGAGGCTCCGCCAGATTTGCTCAGACTTACCTATAGTCAGCAGCATCGGGGGTCAGGAAAGACTTCATGAAGCCATAAATGCATCCTTCTCGGGGCAGCACCTGGCTCTCCCAGGTGAGAGAGGACTCCATTTTCACAGGCAGGCGTGGGAGCTTCAGCACCCATCTCTGGGCCCAGAATGACCCACTGGAGACCTTACAGCTCTCCTGTCACCCCCAATTCCTGCCCCCTCTGCAGCCTTGGAGGAGAATGGAGCTGAAGGGCCTGCCCTCTGTAGGGTGAGAAAGGGAGGCTAAAGCCTGGTGCCCACTGCCCTGGCTGCTCCGCATTGCAGGAGCTGCGCCCTTCCTTTCCTGGCACAGGGTCCACAGCCCCGAAACCCCGTTGTGTGGGAGCTGGGCACAGGGCAGCAGGACTAATCCTTGGAACAGCTCAGGGAGGATTATCCCAGCCACTGTCAGCAGCGGTGCAGCTGGCTCATTCCCATATAGGGGGAGGCCAGAGCCAGGGGCCTGCCACAAGTTGGAAGGCTGGGGAAGGGGAGGCCAGCAGAGGTGTCCTGGCTGTGGGTGGCTCTGAGGGGGCTCTCAGGGGTGGGGCTAAATCTCAGGGGCAGGATTATGTAAATCAAACCAATTCTAGCCACAGATTCAAAGTTTGGAAAAAAAAAAAAAACCCAGCCTGGCGGAAAGAATTTAAATTATAAAAACTTAGAAGTATGGAATGTGAAATCATCCTGTAGGTGCTTATTTAACAACGAAATCATCCCGACACAATGAGCCATATGTGAAAAGTCATCCTTCCCCAACACATCCCCCAACAGGCACTCCTCAAGCCTCTCCCACCCAAGTGCTGGCATCCTCCCTGTCCTGCTTCACCTGAGACACCCCTTGTCTCATTAGACATGCAACTACGGGAGGGGTGACAGGAAGACAAGACACTATTTCCTCAGGCCCAGTTTGGTGTGGGGAGAAAGCCTCCTGATCCTGAAAGCAAGAATTTGACCAGAGCAGAAGTAATCAGTATGCAGATTGACTCTGTGGTATGTTAATGTTTATGCATAGATTATGAGGACCAGGTGAAAAGTGGGCCAGGGGAGCCAGATGTGTGTGTGAGTCATGGGTGGCTGAGATGAGGACAGGAGGGAAACTGGTTTGGAGGCTGCTGGCGATGGGGTGGGGGTGCCAGGAGGAAGGGAGGCAGTTGTTTGAATGTCTGCATGAAAAAGCGGACGACAGCGGGGTCTGGGTGAATTCGGGCAACCATTTGGACCGTGGAGAAAACTGCCTGCGTGCGGCTGAGGACCTGCACTATTAATTTGTTTTTTAGCTAAGGCAAAGATAAATATAAAAACTGATACTCCATCCAGTTACCAGAAAACATTTAGGTATGTGTGAGACAACTTGGGTATGTGAACCTACCTTTTCAATGTAAATTCAGTGAAATCTAAGTGCAGATCCCATATTTCCAATAAAAAGGTAACATCCAAACTCAGATGTCCTATGAGTATAAAATACACAAAGATCTTCTGGACTTAGCATGAAAAGGGATTTTTTTTTTGTCAGGTACCTCACTAGTTATTTTTAAAATAGGATTGCATGTTGAAATGATAATCTTTTGGATATATTGGGTTAAATAAATTTATTATTAAAGTTAATTTCACTTAAAAATGTTTAATGTAGCTACTAGAAATTTTAAAATTAAGCATGTTGCTCACCTTATGTTTCTATTGGACGGCTCTCTCTAGATACAAAGGCTGCCAAGAGGGACCTCACTCTAGCTTCAGGGAGAAGAGAGGAATTAGCAAGGCCAAGCAGAGGCTCCTGAGGGCAGGGCCAAGGGCGGCTTGGTGGGGTGGGGATGGGATGCACAGAGATAACTCCAACCCTTAAGAAGGTGTTTCCTAGAGCAGGCTGTGACCTGTCAGTTTATATACTGAGGCTTAGGAGCCTCTTGGATGCCCCCAGATCTGCACCCCTGAATTGCCCTGTGCCCCTGCCGTCTTTGTTCCTGTGCTGGCATAGTGGTCTCACCTCCGGCAGTATCACCACCACTGGGCACAAGCTTCTCCAGCACAGCAACTGTGTCTTATTTCTCCTTGTACTCCCAGTGTTCACACCATGCTGCACTCACAGAAGACTCTTCGTTGATATTTTGTGGACAGAGAGAATGCCTGTGAGAGTGGGCTGAAGTGTGCGTTGGGCTCCAGAGACCTTAAGGAGGGGAGACCAGGTCCTGAGTAAAGTTGAAGGGGAGGGGCTGAGTCCTGCTAGCCAGGAGTCTCATCCCCTGGGGAAGTTCCAGGGACCCCTCAGAAGTGCAAGGGGACGGTGTTAGTGTTAGTCCAGTAACACAGCCCAGAGCCTGCCTTCCACGTGGGTTTGACAGGAGCCTCCTAACTGCTGTTCTGCTTCCATTTTTGCCCCTTCAGTCTATTCTCAACAGGGAAGCCAGAGGCATCCTTAACCATGTCAGATCATGTGGCTCCTCAGCTCAAAGCCTCATCTCAGAGGAAAGCTATGGTCCCTTAGAAATGGCCCAGGTGGTGACAGACAGACTCTAAGGTGAGCAGACTGTTGCTAGATATCTGGGCTCGGAGGACTCGCCACTGCTCAAAGGCAGTGAGGATTTTCGCACTAGAAGCTGGAGGACAGGGATCCTTGTTAGGTAGGAGCAGAAAGCTTAGAAAAGTGGTCTCCTGCAGTTACGTGGCAAACACATCATGTAAGTGATAAATTGGGTATGCAGTTGAGGAGATTTCCAAGTAAAATGTTGAGGATGCTGCCTGGTTTC
This sequence comes from Homo sapiens, assembly GCF_000001405.40. NCBI lineage: Eukaryota > Metazoa > Chordata > Mammalia > Primates > Hominidae > Homo > Homo sapiens. Next base: position 58,619 of record NW_021160015.1, on the reverse strand, counting down.
TTCTTACTGCTTATAATATAGTGTGAGAGAAGAGAGATAAATTGAGAAAGAGACTGGTTTTTAAACTGTTAAAATTGAATCAGGACTTGATGATTTTGAAAATTGTCAGTCTCCCCACATGGAAAAAGATGCTGAAATTAACAAATGGCTTCTGAGCATGTGGCATAGGGTGTAACTGTACAGTCTTTTGTGATTATGCATAAAGATCAAAGGATGGGAGTAGCAATGAGTCACACAGAGGTCTGTTGCAAGAGATTACAAGGGTGTACCATGCAGAACCTCTCCACCAAACCTTAGGGCCCCTGGGAAGCTTCAGTGAGTTACCCTGGGGGCCATCTTGGCAGGAGCTGAAGGTAGAAAGGTAGAGTTTATCTCTAAAAGATTCATGGGTATGGCTCTTGACAAATCGACTATGAGCCCCACTGAAACCCACAGAGGACAGGCAAAGGGTTTGGGAAAGCTGTTTCACCCACAGTGCTGGCAGATTGGTCTGTAGGGGACAGAGTGCAAAATGAAAGAAGACTGTCAGAGACCCCAAACTCTGCTGTCAAGAAGAAGGCTGATAAAACTACTTGGCTGCAAACACGTGGATCTTTCGTGAGAAAAGAAGGATGACCCAGAGGCAGAAGCCCAGAAGGCAGAGCCAAGAGACATGGAATCTTCCCACATCTTAAAACCTGTTTAGGGAACACCAGCATCTGTCCAGCTGGATTTCAGAACCACCATTCCTTCATCCTTCCCCTGCTGCCTCTTTCTGAACAGCAATGTCTCAAGCTTTACCCACCATTGTGTGTTGCATATGTAGAGGGCAGATAGCTTGTATCTTTAGTTTTCCAGATCAGAGGAACATCCAAAGAAATCTGTTCTACACCTAAACCCGATTTAGATGAGATTCGGGACTGTGAGCATGAAGGGATCTCAAGAGGGGTGAATGTGTTTTGCATGCACAAGGGACATGAGTCTTGGGGACAGAGGACAGGCTGTGGTGGCAGATACTAAGGTGACCCCCACAACCCCCACCTCTGCCATTCACACCCTTGAATAATCCCCTTCTCTGGTTGTAAGCAGAACCTGTGGCTTGCTTATGAAGGAGGCGGTATATATGTGATTCATGTACTGATCATATTGTATAAGATCACTGGCTGGACGCAGTGGCTCGTGCCTGTAATCCCAACACTTTGGGAGGCTGAGGTGGGTGGATCACCTGAGGTCAGGAGTTCGAGACCAGGCTGGCCAACATGGCAAAACCCCGCCTCTACTAAAAATACAAAAATTAGCCAGGCATAGTGGTGCACGCCTGTAATCACAGCTACTCAAGAGGCTGAAGCAGGAGAATTGCTTGAACTCAGGAGGTGGAGATGGCAGTGAGCCAAGATCGTGCCACTGCACTCCAGCCTCAGTGACAGAGCGAGACTCTGTCTCAAAAAATAAATAAATAAAATGTTAAGATCATAACCTGTCTTTCTGGGGACTCTCTCTTGACGCCTTTGAAGAAGCAGGCTGCCATGTTGCAAGCTGCCTCATGGAGGGGATCAGCTGCGAGGAGCTAAGAGCCCCCTCCAGTCGATGCTCACCAGGAAGCTGAGGTCTTGTGTCCAGCACCCTGCATAGAACTGAATGCTGCCATGTGAGCTTGGAAGCAGAGCCATCCACACAGCTGAGCCCTAGATGAGAACCCAGTGCTGGCTGACACCCTGATGGCACCTTACAGAGGACCAGTTAGGCTGTGCCAACTCCTGACCTGCAGAAGCTGGGGAACATTGGGTCGTATTTGCAGCTGCTGGATTTGTGGGAATTTGTCACACAGCAATTGGGAGTCACACAGCCTGTGACGCCCCAACAATCCACACCTCCTGCATCTCCCTGCCTTCACTTCCTAGCACACTGCCCTGACTCCCTCTGCCGCAGCCACGCTGGCCCTCTGCTGTTCTTCGAAGCCACCAGGGCTGCATTGGCTCCCAGCCTTTGCTCTCACTGCTTTCTCCTCCTAGAGAGCCCTTCCTGCATGTATATGTTTGACTCACTCCCTTGCCTCCTTCAGACTTGTACTTAAAAATCTCAGTAAGCATTTCCCTGGCTACCCTTTTAAAAATTGCAACCCACTTCCATCCCCATCCCCAACATGCCATATTTCCTTTCTTCTTCTTCCTTCTTCCTTTTTTTTTTTTTTTTTTTTTTGACACAGGTTCTCTGTCACCCAGCCTGGAGTGCAGTGACATGATCTCGGCTCACTGCAACCTCTGCCTCCCCAGGCAAGAAAAGGGGAGGATGCCAATAAAGGATGCATTGATTTGTATTTACTACAGTGGACATCAAGGGCACATTCTTGCTGTGGCCATCAAGAGACTGTATAAATTCTATGACTTGTAGTTGTCCCACTTAAGAAACAAAGAAGCTGTGCATTTCTTTACTGGTCTAGAGCTGCTCTAGGGCATTTTCTCTACAGCAATTCTAGGTTTCCCCACCTTGTGAGTTTAGCTTTTTCTATATTCAAAGAAAAGTCCTCAGCCAGAGATTCTCAGGAGCTTATAGAACAATCCAAACTCTTGGGAATATTAAGTGGAGAGGGGTATGTGCAAGACACCAACAGCACTAGAAACAGTCCACATCTTTCCATGCGTGGAGGAGTTTATGCTCTATGTGAGTTCACTCCATCATTAATTCTTCAAACACAAGAGTGTTAAAGGAACAAGAGTTAATGGGTCCTGTCATTACACTTGTTCCCAGGATGACATTCATCATCTTCCTCTTCTACAACCTGTTCTATATTCCCCTTATGTTTATCCAGTGCTTCTGCTAGTCTAGTTCACTTCCAAAGACCCATGATTACCATGGCCCTGTCAGGCTGTAATTGCTGCAATTTCCAATTTACAATTGTCATCATCTATGGTTGATAAAGGTATAGCAGTATTTCTATTTCCTCATGATAAGGAAGGTCAATTACAACTGCCAGTATAATAACTTATTTCTTTGTCTGCCAACCTACATACACAAGGAAGCCAAAATGACATGGAGCTACTAAAACTTTATGCTTATTGGAATGCTTACTATGTACCCAGAAGAAGCATTCTCCCTACTCCAGCAGAGCTTAATGCTGTAGGTCCAGGAAGCTCAAATTCTCCAAGGGAGTTTTAGTGAGAGGAGCCACTCTCACCCTCTGCCCTTGGTTTACAAACCTGTATATTCTAGGACCCAATATCTTACAATGTCCATTGGTTCAAAGTATAACATGTTAAAGCACAGAGCCCCAACTCTGAAAAGTACCATCCCTAAATTGGCACTTAGTTGCACCTTTATATCCACCTTTAAAAGAAATATCTTTTAATGTTCTATCAGACTGATAGATTCTGTTTAATATAGTGTATTATAGCACCAGTGGATCATTTGGTTGTATGCATATTATTGTACCTTCTCTGCTACAAAATATATTCCTTTGTCCTAAGGTGTGTTACAAAGAACATTAGGCATTCTATGCATCTTTGGATAGTTTAATGGCCAAGGCATTGATGGCAGGAGAGTCAAAGCCACAGGTGGAAAACACATTTATCCCAGTAAGAACAAATTGCTATTCTTCCACTGTAGAGAGGGTAAACAATGTGCCATTACGTTGCCAATTGAATGCCTCAATCATGTCAAGGGCTGAACATCTATGACTGTTTCTGAAAGGTCAAACATTCAACAGAGGCTGTAGCTAGAACTGCCTTAATGATAAGAGATCATGCTGAATTACCCATGCAAAACCTTAATACTTGACACTTATCACTACTTTATTCAAGAGCCTATTGTGCAAGCATAAGTGGCTGAGTCAGGTTCTCAACTCTGCTCATTAATACTATGCTTGGAGTATACAGTAAGATAAGAAACATAAATAAGAAGTGTACATTTGTTTCTTCCTGTTTTCTTCTGGCTATTGGATCAATTACATCCCATCTTAAGCTGACCCCTGTGTAATTAATCAATATCCGTTTTAAGCAGCAATCCATAGTTGTGCAGAAATTAGAAAACTGACCCACACAGAAAAACTAATTGTGAGAACCAATATTACACTAAATTCATTTGACAATTCTCAGCAAAGTGCTGGGTTGATCTCTATTTATGCTTTTCTTAAACACACAAAATACAAAAGTTAACCCATATGGAATGCAATGGAGGAAATCAATGACATATCAGATCTAGAAACTAATCAATTAGCAATCAGGAAGGAGTTGCGGTAGGAACTCTGTGCTGTTGAATGTACACTAATCAATGATTCCTTAAATTATTCACAATAAAAAAAAAGATTAGAATAGTTTTTTTTTAAAAAAAGCCCAGAAACTAATCTAAGTTTTGTCTGGTAATAAAGGTATATTTTCAAAAGAGAGGTAAATAGATCCACATACTGTGGAGGGAATAAAATACTTTTTGAAAAACAAACAACAAGTTGGATTTTTAGACACATAGAAATTGAATATGTACATTTATAAATATTTTTGGATTGAACTATTTCAAAATTATACCATAAAATAACTTGTAAAAATGTAGGCAAAATGTATATAATTATGGCATGAGGTATGCAACTTTAAGCAAGGAAGCAAAAGCAGAAACCATGAAAAAAGTCTAAATTTTACCATATTGAATTTAAATTTTCAAAAACAAAAATAAAGACAAAGTGGGAAAAATATGTATGCTTCATGTGTGACAAGCCACTGATACCTATTAAATATGAAGAATATTATAAATCATATTAATAACCACAACATTCAAGCTGTCAGTTTGAATAGACAATGTAAATGACAAAACTACATACTCAACAAGATAACAGCAAACCAGCTTCGACAGCACGTTAAAGGGGTCATACAACATAATCGAGTAGAATTTATCTCTGAGATGCAAGAATGGTTCAAAATATGGAAATCAATAAATGTGATATGCCACACTACCAGAATAAAAAATAAAAATCATATTATCATCTCAATAGATGCAGAAAAAGCATTAACAAAAGTAAACATTCTTTCATAATAAGACATCAGATAAAACAAATTAGGAATAGAAGGAATGTACCACAACACAATAAAGGCCATATATAACAAGCCCACAGCTAACATCATAATAGTAAAATCATCACAATGGTAAAAAAAATGAAAGCTTTTCCTCTAAGGTCAGAAATAATATAAAGGTTCCCACTCTTGCTATTTCTATTCCATATAGTACTAAAAGTCCTAGCCAGGACAATTAGACAAAATAAAAATAAAAACACCCAAATTGGAAAGATAGAAGCAAACTTTTCTGTTTACAGATAACATAATCTTATATGTAGAAACCCCTTAAAACTTCAGCAAAAAAAAAAAAAAAAAAAAACTACAGAGCTAGTAAATTCAGTGAAGTTGCAGAATACAAAATCAACATACAAAAATCAGTAGTGTCTCTATACACTAATAAGGACTTAACAGAGAAAGAAGTTAAGAAAACAATACCACTAACAATAGAATCCAAAAAATAAAATACTTAGGAATAAATTTTACCAAACATCTGTACACTAAAAACTATAAAACATTGAAAAAAGAAGTTGAATAAGACACATATAAATAGAAAGCTATCTCATGTTAATAGATTAGAAAAAGTAATATTGTTAAGATGTCCTCACTACTTAAAGCAATTTATAGATCTAATGCATTTATTGCAATCTCTTCAAAATCCCAAAGGTATTTTTGACAGAAATAAAAAAAAAATTCTAAAATATGCATGAAACCACAAAAGACTGTGAATAGCTAAAGCAATCTTGAGCAAGATGAACAACACTGGAAGCATCACACTACCTTATTTCAAAATCTACTACAAAGCTATAGTGATCAAAGCAACATGATACTGTCATAAAAACACATAGATAAACCTATGGAATGGAATAAAGAGCACAGAAATAAGTCCACACATTTACATTCAATTGATTTTCAACAACAATGTCAAGAAGACAATGGGGAAAAGACAATCTCTTCAATAAATGATGCTGGAAAAACTATATATTCACATGCAGAAGAATGCAGTTGAATCCTGATTTCATACCATATGCAAAATTCAACTGGAAATGGATTAAATACAAATTTAAAACATGAAATGGTATAACTATTAGAACAAAACATAGAAAATATTCTTCCTGACATTGGTTTGGGCCATCATTTTTCTGATATGACTCTAAAAGCACAGGCAAAAAAAGAAAAAATAGACAAATGAGACTATGTCAAATTAAAAAATTTCTAACAACAAAAGAAACGATCAATAGAGTGAAAAAGATAACCTCTTGAATGGGAGAAATATTTGCAAACTACTCATCCAACTGGGGATTGATATCCAGAATATACAAGTAACACAAATATGTCAAAAGTAAAATAAATAAATAAATAAATAAATAAATAAATAAATAAATAAATAAAATAAATTATTTAAAAATCGGCAGAGGACAGGAATAGACATTTCTCAGGAGACAACATACAAAGGGCCACAGATACATCAAAAAATGCTCAACATCACTATTTGTCAGGGAAGTACTAATTAAAACCAAAATGAGATGTCCCCTCAAACCTGTTAGAATGGCTCTTATCAAAAAGATGAAAGATAGCAACTATCAGAGAGGATGATAGAAAAGGGAACCCTTGTATCATGTACAAATTAAAAATAGAACTATCACATGATCCAAGAATCCTACTTCTGGGTATATAGCCAAAGGAATTGAAATCAATATGTCAAAGGGATATCTGCACTCCTATGTTATTGCAGCATGTTCACAATGGCCAAGATATAGAATCAACCTAACTGTTCATAGACAGATGAATGGATAAATGAAATGTGATATGGAAAATTATTCAGCCTTAAAAACAGTAGGAAATTCTGTCATTTGAGACAACGTGGATGAACCTAGAGGACATTAAGCTAAGTGAAATAAGCTAGACACAGAAAGACAAATATTGCATGATCTCACTTAGAATCTAAAAAATCTGAACTCATAGAAGCAGAGAATAGTATGATGGTTACTAGGGTTATCTGGCAGGGAGAGGATGAGGAAATGGGACATTGTTAATAAAAGGAAAAAAAATTCAATTAGTAGGATTACATTCAGGGGACCCAATATACGACATGTTGACTGTAATTAATAATGTATTGTATGCTTGAAAATTGCTAATACAGTATATTATAAATGTTAATATGAGGTAATATATGTGTTAATTAACTTGATTTATTCATTCAACAACATACACATATATTAAAACATCACACTGTATTCCACAAATATATATAATTTTTGTCAATTAAAAAATAATTTTTAAAAATGAGAAACAAAAAAGCTGACATTTTCAGATTAAAAAAATTATACAGAAGAATTAATTCATTAAAGTAAAAACAAATGTGGGAAAATGGTTTTTAAATATAATTTAAACCAAATTTAAAATAAGCATAAAAAGACTATGGACAAAACAAGAAATCCAAATAAAAAATAAACATATGAAGAATATTCAAACTCACTTTTTATCAAAGAAATGTAAATTTTAAAATATAGCATTGCTATTGTGTTTTCATAAATAATAATATATCATGGATGAGCCTGTGAGGAAACAGACACTCATACTCTGCAAAGCAATGACTAAGATAATTATGTCAGATGATGAATTACGTTAATTAGCTTGATGGTGGTCACTGTTTCACGATAAATATACATATGTATCAAAACATCACATTACACACCATAAAGATATATAACTTGTTATCAAAAAGAAATATAGCAGTTAAAATTTAAAATTTTTAAAAAACGTCTTTTTGAGGTTCGTACCTCACTTAAGTCACACTGTTCAAAATATTCATGCACTCATTTCTCTCATTCATGTGTTAATGTACAGGGTACGGGCCACTATAAATTCCTTCAGCAACTGGAAAGGAAACTTTATGTACTGAGTGCTCAGAGTTGTATTAACTATTTTTTTTTTTTTGAGCAGCAGCAAGATTTATTGTGAAGAGTGAAAGAACAAAGCTTCCACAGTGTGGAAGGGGACCCGAGCGGTTTGCCCAGTTGTATTAACTTCTAATTCAACACTTTAAGATTCTTAGCATTATTGCAGACAACATCAGCTTCACAAGTGTGTGTCCTGTGCAGTTGAACAAGATCCCACACTTAAAAGGATCCTACACTTTTTTTAATGCTCTGCTGTTTCTGCCTTGAAATTCTTAACAATTTTTTTAACCGAAGTCCTCACAAATTCAGTTTACATTAGCCCTGCAATCATGTAGACATCCTGATTCCAGACAATGTGTCTGGAGGCAGGGTTTACAGGACTTCAAGAACCTTACCTTCTCAACTTTCATCTGCATCTTTACTCCCAACTATATATGAAGATGATGAAGATAGATATGGATGGTGCTTCTACCATACCCTCTTCCTCTGCCAAACTTCCTTGATCTAGGATAAGGTCAGTAAACTTCTTCCGTAAAAGGCCAAAAGTAAATATTATAGGCTCTACAGGCCCTAGAGTGTCTGTCATAACTACTCAACTCTTATTGTAGCATAAAAACTGTCAACAGACAATACAGAAACAAATGAGTGTGACTGGGTTCCAGTGAAACTTTATTTACAAAAGATTTGTCCCATGAGTCAAATTTACCACCTCCAGATCTAGAGAAACACTTTTGAGCCCTTTTATTTTGCTCAACAGTTAAGCATGGCTCCATGTCCCTTATATTTAGTCAGAACTCGGTATGTTTTAAGGAAAGAATGGTTACACGAAGACATACATTCATTCATTTATACAACACATTTTCAGTGTTGAATGATAAATTTTGGAATAGTTAACAGATGATAAAAGTGTTGGTTTCAGTCATCCCTATCCAATGAAGTAAAAAAAAAAGTGTTGAATGGGAAGAAATCAAGAATAGTTATACGAATATCACCATTGCATTAAAGCTCTCTTCCTTGTTTCTAAAAGAATATCTTGACACACATTAAGCTCACTGACCCCCACACCATGAATGAGGGCATCTTCAACAATGGTGGATGACGTCTTAGTTTCCCTCAACTCAGTTAATCTAAGTAAGCTCATGGTATCACTTTCCTGTCCTAGAGGGAACATATTTCCTGCATTTTTCTTTTTTTCCTTACTTTCCATCACCAAGTAACTCTTCTGATATTTTTTCTCTTGAGAAAATTAATATGACTCATAGATCTGGTTCCCAAGAGAAATCAATGGAGGCCTGGTTACAAGGATCTAAGAAGCATCAATGGGTCACTAACATCTAGTGGTACTAATTAACTCTGTTAATCATTGGGAAGAAAATGTATATATACTTTTGTCTTGGAGCTGATTCTACTAGAAAGCAGAAATCAAAATGATCAGTTTCCCAGTGTCACTACTGCACACCCTGGAACAGAACAGGTAGGTCAGAAAAACGCTCCCAAAGTTTAGCAATGTCAAGGCAATCTCTCTCTTCTTACATTTCCCTTCAACCTTCTATCTCCTCCACTTTTCTGTTTTCCTCCTATCTCCAATTATTTCAATCCTCAGAGCATTATTCTTACAATCTTAATCACTAAATTATATTACACCCGTTAAAGGAGAGATTTCTAAATGCATTGACATTTGTACTGTCTCTCTTTGGAGAATTAGTATTATAAGGATCTGTTATCTCTTGTCACCTTCCTTATGTCATATGATATGTCACATTTCCCACTGCGGAGACCAAACATGTTCACATCGTGTGCGTTACATTTTCCTAATGGAAAGTGGGGGGAAGTGATTTTCTGTCCTCATATAGAGAATGCTGGGGCCATTCCCTCTGTATGCCATATTTGATAAAGCATTTGATAATCTTAGTCAATGCCTGGGCCAAGAATTAAAGGGGTAATTATCAGAATGAAAATGGTTTAATGAAACTGTGTCTATCAGTTCTGAAAAGGGCCTCTATCACAATGAACTAAGGTAGTTATGAATAGAGCTAAAACTTAGGCAACACCATCCTGGACATAGGAACGGGCAAAGATTTCATGACAAAGACACGGAAACCAATCACAACAAAAGCAAAAATTGAGAAGTGGAACCTAATAAAACAATAGCTTCTGCACAGCAAAAGAAGCTACCAACAAAGTAAACAGACAACCTACAGAATGGGAGAAAATATTTGCCAACTGTAAGTCTGACAAAAATCTAATATCTGGCAGCTATAAGGAACTTAAATTTACAAGACAAAAACAACCCCATTAAAAAGTGGGCAAAGAACATGAATAGACACTCTCAAAAGAAGATATACATATGGTTAACAAGCATATGAAAAAAAAGCTCAATATACTGAGCATTAGAGAAATGCAAATCAAAACCATATTGAGATATCATCTCATACCAGGCAGAATGGCTATTATTAAAAAGTCAAAAATAACAGATATCGGTGAGGTTACAGAGAAAAGGGAACACTTATACACTGTTGGTGGGACTGTAAATTATTTCAACCATTGTGGAAAGCAGCATGGGATGGCGATTCCTCAAAAAGCCAAAAACAGAACTGTCATTCAACCCAGCAATTCCATTACTGGGTATATACCCAGAAGAATATAAATCGTTCTACCATAAAGACGCATGCATGAGAATGTTCATTGCAGCACTACTCACAATAGCAGAGACATGGAATCAACTTAAATGCCCATCAGTAACAGACTGGATAAAGAAAGTGTGGTACTGATACACCGTGGATTACTATGCAGCCATAAAAAAGAACAAGATCATGTCTTTGACAGGAACATGGATGGAGCTGGAGGCTACTATCCTTAGCAAGCTAAGGCAGGAACAGAAATCCAAATACCACATGTTCTCACTTATGAGCGTGAGATAAATGATGAGAACTTGTAAACACAAAGAAGGAAACAACAGGCAGTGGGGTCTACTTGAGGACGACGGGAAGAGGGAGAGGAGCAGAAAAGATAACTACTGACTACCGGGCGCTACCTGGGGGATGAAACAATCTGTACAACGAACCCCCAGGACATGAGTTTACCTATGTAACAAACCTTCACGTGTACCCCCGAACCTAAAATAAAAGTCAAAAAAAAAAAGAAAAAAAGAAAAATCCATGCATATGATACATCAGTTAACAAGGCACTGGTGAAATTAATTTTAAGTATTATTGTCTCTTTGTGTTTTTGGTCTCAGAAAAGTTACGATTTCCCTTAGTTCCTTAGGGCAGAGAGAATCTTCAATCACTGAAGTCAGGAGACACACATTCTATCTGATTTTCTACATTATCTGTTTGAAAAGGTTACCCACTTATTAGTGTTAAAGCCAAGATATCCAGCAAGGATAGCAACCAACTCTTAAGGTACTCTCCCTTAGGAGGATTCCTGATTCTTTAATGTTTTCTAAAAAAGCAAAACAAACAAACAAAACAAAACACTAAATGTTTTCTCTTTCAACTTATTTGAATACACTCTTTTCTCACTGCTCTGAGCATGAATTCAATATTTCAGGGCAAACTAACTGAATGTTAGAACCAACTCCTGATAAGTCTTGAACAAAAGATAGGATCCTCTATAAACAGGTTAATCGCCACGACATAGTAGTATTTAGAGTTACTAGTAAGCCTGATGCCACTACACAATTCTAGCTTTTCTCTTTAGGATGATTGTTTCATTCAGTCTTATCTCTTTTAGAAAACATAGGAAAAAATTATTTAATAATAAAATTTAATTGGCAAAATGAAGGTATGGCTTATAAGAGTGTTTTCCTATTGTTTTCAGTGTAGGACTCACTGTTCTAAATAACTGGGACACCCAAGGATTCTGTAAAATGCCATCCAGTTATCATTTATATTCCCTAACTCAAAATTCATTCCATGTATTCATTTTTTTCTAAACAAATTAGCATGTAGAATTCTGGTTAAAATTTGGCATAGAACACCCGGGTATTTTTTCATAATGCACCCAATAACTGTCATTCACTAATTGAGAATGGTGATTTAACAAAGGATAATAAAGTTATGAAACCAATGCCACAAAACATCTGTCTCTAACTGGTGTGTGTGTGTGTGTGTGTGTGTGTGTGTGTGTGTAAGAGGGAGAGAGAGAAAATTTCACTCCCTCCATAAATCTCACAGTATTCTTTTCTTTTTCCTTTCCTTTCCTTGCTCTTCTTTCTCTCCTATTGCTTTCCTTTCATTTCCTTCTCATAAAAGAAAAATAACAATATAGAAAATAACAAAATATAGATGGTCAACCTTTTTAATATTAAGGTTACCTAAAATGCCATTATCCAAAGTGGTTCTCTAGAGATGCTGATGTATATACTTACATATTTTACAGTGTATTCAAATAAAGAGTATATTACATAAGACATATCCTTTTGTAACCAACTTTTGTCATTAACAATTTACTGGACTTGTCAACAAACCTAAATCTGTATCGTCTATAATGGCTACGTTCATTTTGGTATGAATCTTAATTACCCCTTTCTGCATTATTTAATGATTTTCTCATATGTCACTCTTAAATGTACTTCTAATTTTTCACTTTACATCACATAATGAATGGATCCAAATATGTTATGGATAGATATCTTCAAACTTTCTACTTACAAGTAGTGATAATAACAGATGTTCTCTCTAAAGTGTAGTTGGTATCAATTTTACTGACCTTTAAAAATATCTTAATGGGACAAAGTTCAAATATTTGATGACCAGCTATCGTGACCTTTATCTCTGTGGCTCTGTGGGCCTGTAGTTTTTACGTGCTTTTAGTGTATCATGATTAAATATTTTGTTTTAGTAAAGACACCATTATTTCCCAACTTCATATTCAAATTGTCAAAGGTATTAATCCTAGAGCAGAACTCTCAAAAGCACCAACTCTGATTCCTAACAAAGCATGGAAAAGCCCTCTCTCTGAGTTTCAGATACTCTTTTTTGTGGGGGTTGAGTTTCACTTTATTTAAAGTGAGTCTTATTCCTCCAACAAGTCAACAAGTGATTGGCTGGAATCACACGTATTGGAAAACCAGCGGAAGAGTAAGTCTTTGCATTTTATGCTACTGTACCTCTGAGATTAATTGCTCTTTCCCTCATTGGCCAGTCACTCTTAGTGTGTGATTAATGCCTGAGACTGTGTGAAGTAAGAGATGGATCAGAGGCCGGGCGCGGGGGCTCGCGCCTGTCATCCCAGCACTTTGGGAGGCCGAGGCGGGCGGATCACGAGGTCAGGAGATCGAGACCATCCCGGCTAACACGGGGAAACCCCGTCTCCACTAAAAATACAAAAAGTTAGCCGGGCGCGGTGGCGGGCGCCTGCGGTCCCAGCTGCTGGGGAGGCCGAGGCGGGAGCATGGCGGGAACCGGGAGGCGGAGCCTGCAGTGAGCCGAGATGGCGCCACCGCACTCCAGCCTGGGCGACCCAGCGAGACTCCGCCTCAAAAAAAAAAAAAGAAGATTGATCAGAGAGTACATCCTCTAAGGGTACATGCAGATAAATACAATTAAGGCTATTAGCATTTCAAATACGGTGACTGTTTCTTACGTGGACGACGTTGTGTTGAACATGGGTGAGTAAGACTGAAGCAGCCGTAATTACTGCACGATGCGCATGGTAAAGAAGCACTCCGTTACGGAAATTATATTCTTTGCCCCTCTAATCCTTCACTCCACCTGCCATATTCCCACATGATTTTTTTCTTTGCTGTTCTTGTCTAATAGTTATTAATAATTAATAAATAACTTATGATCTAATTGTTATTAATAATTAATAACTTATCATCACATGATTAATAAATTAATAAATAACTTATGATCACCGCATTTCCCCAATTCATTTATCTTTCTTTCATTTTCTCTCTTTGTGTGTTTTCTGTCTTCATATTTCAGCACTTGCCACATATTTCCCACAAAATCATTTATGGTCAAACAACACTTCAACGTGTAGCATTTGTATTTCTCAATTCTTCCTCACTTTCTTCCTTCAGAATACTAAAGCTTCTTCTCTACTGACTGAGTCAATGGCCAATGGATAGAGTAAATAATTCTGCGGTATCTAAATTTGTATTGATTGGACTTTCAAGCTCTTGGGAGATGCATCCTTTTCTTTTTTGGTTCTTCTCTGTGTTCTACATGGGAATTATCCTGGAAAATCTCTTCATTGTGTTCACAGTAATTATTGACTCTCATTTAAATTCCCCAGGTACTGCCTACTGGCCAACATTTATCTTCTTGATCTGGGTCTTCTCCTACAGTTCTGACTTTTTCACTAACTGCAGCATCATTTCTTTTCCAAGATGCATGATACAGATATTTTTCATTTGTGTCATGCGTAAAAATTGAGATGGTGCTGCTCATAACCATGGCATAGAGCAGGTACACTGCCAATCTGTAAGCCTCCCCATTACCTGACCACAATGAACCCCAAAATGTGTGTTTACTTTGTTGGAGGCATCCTGGATAGTCAGGATAATCCATGCTGTATCTCAGTTTGTTTTTGCCATAAACTTGCCTTTTTGTGGCCCTAATAGAGTAGGTAGTTTTCACTGTGATTTTCCTTATGTCATGAAACTTGCTTGTGTAGACACTTACAAACTAGAGGTTGTAGTCACTGCTAACAGTGGGCTTATATCCATAGCTACCTGTTTCTTATTAATAATATCCTATATTTTCATTTCGGTAACCGTCTAGAATCCTTCTTCAGGAGACTTATCTAAAGCATTTGTGTCATGTTAGATCACATCACAGTAGGGATTTTGTTTTTTATGCCATGTATATTTCTCTATGTGTAGCCTTTGCCTAAAACAACACATGATTAATATTTGTTCATTGTTCCTTTTGCTATCACCCCTGTCTAGGATCTACACATTAAGAAACAAAGACATGAACGTCTCCATGGAAAGACTGGGAAAATGGATTGCAGGTTCTAGCAGGATGTCATAATAAATGGTGCATATCCAGAGTGCAAGATGATTCAGTCTCACCAAGAACACTGAAAGTCACATGGCTACCAGCATTATTGTGATAAGAACTACTATTTTGGGAGATAGTTTAGCAAAGGTGCCATGTAGAAATTGATTAAGTCAGAGGTATCTTTAACTTGCCACCACAGAGAAGAGATTAATTTCATATACTTCCATTGAGAAGAGAGATAAGAATACAAAACCAAGCTGATTTGCAGGAGTAAACTTGATATTCAAATACTATTTCCTGAATGACATTTTCTGAGACATGCTAATTGTAATTACTTTCAGCTTCAAAACATAATAAATTTATCTCATAGTAAGCATATAGATGGAATAAATAAAATGTGAACTTAGGTAAATTATAAATTAATAAAGTATATTTTTAAAATTTCCATTTTAATTTCTGTTTAAATTAGAATAAGAAACAAAAACAACTATGTAATACGTGTGCAAAGCCCTGAACTGAGATTTGACTTTACCTTGAGCTTTGTCAGTTTACGATGCTATTTCAGTTTTGTGCTCAGATTTGAGTGATTGCAGGAAGAGAATAAATTTCTTTAATGCTGTCAAGACTTTAAATAGATACAGACAGAGCATTTTCACTTTTTCCTACATCTCTATTATTCTAAAAATGAGAACATTCCAAAAGTCAATCATCCAAGTTTATTCTAAATAGATGTGTAGAAATAACAGTTGTTTCACAGGAGACTAATCGCCCAAGGATATGTGTTTAGAGGTACTGGTTTCTTAAATAAGGTTTTCTAGTCAGGCAAAAGATTCCCTGGAGCTTATGCATCTGTGGTTGATATTTTGGGATAAGAATAAAGCTAGACATGGTGAGGCATATTCAATTTCATTGAAGATTTCTGCATTCAAAATAAAAACTCTATTGAAGTTACACATACTTTTTTCATGTATTTGTTTCTACTGCTTTGTAAATTATAACAGCTCAATTAAGAGAAACCGTACCTATGCTATTTTGTCCTGTGACTCTCCAAGAACCTTCCTAAGTTATTCTACTTAATTGCTTTATCACTCATATGAATGGGAATTTCTTCTCTTAATTGCTGCTAATCTCCCCCATCTTCATATACTCTACCGGGCTTCTGGAACACCACAGCTTCCTGGCTTTTTCTCCTACCTCCTGGGCAAGTCCTTCCCTGTGTCTTTTGTTGAGTGTTCCTCATCTGCTTAACCACCAATCAACCTATTGCCCCTAATTTGATCTTTGGCCTGTTTTCACTTAGATTCTATCTCTACGTATCACCCATTCCCACAGCTTTAATTACCATCTAAACACTAGGGGCTCTCAAACCTTCTATTTTTTCTTTCTTTCTTTCTTTCTTCCTTCCTCCTTTTCTTTCCTTTTCTTTCTTTCATTCTTTCTTTCTTTTTTAAGGGGCAGGGTCTCACTATGTTGCTGAGGCTGGTCTCAAACTCCTGACCTCAAGCAATCTGTCTGCTTCAGCCTCCCAAGTAGCTGAGAATACAGGGACAAGCCATTGCACCTGACCCTGGTACTATTTCTTGAGTTCCTGATCCACAGATCTAACCTCCTACTTTCCTGGATGCCACACAAGATCTTCCACTCAACAAGTCTGCAACTAAACTAGGCTTCCTCTTTTCAAACCTACTCTTCTTTCAGTGTTCTCAGTCACAATAATTTGTACCAACTAGTTACCTAGTTGCACAACCCAAAATCTGGGGAAAATAATAGATTTCTTTCTCCATAGTACCCCAAAATCAATAAATCATCAAGTCTTATTCTACCTTCCAAAGAGCCTTACATATGTTCCTTTATTTTCATCTGTAACACCACTATTCCTGTCTAAGCCTACCTATGTCATTTTTGGAAGAGAATATAGTCACCTATGCGATCTTCCCACTTAAAATCCTATTATCTACGCTTCAGTAAAAGAAAAAAAATTTTTAATCTAAGTATGTAATTCTTTTGCTAAAGACACTTCACATGCTTCTGTGCCCTTAAACTGGTATGTTATCATGGTATAGTAGGCCATCCAAGACCTGGCTTCCTTCCTTTTTTTCAGTCTCAGAGAATAACATACTCTTTCCCTGCAACTCCAGATCCAATTTGGTTTTCTTTTACTTGCCTGGAAACTTCAAATTCTATCAACTCTGGGGCTTTCCACTAGCTAATCATTTTGTATACAATATTCGTCCTTCATGTTTTGCCTCTTAACATCTCAGCTTTCAGTTTCATCATTTTACCAGGGAGGCCTCCCAGAACCTGAGTCCAGAAGAGTTCCTTCCATTGTATATTCCTCTAGCACTACCTATTACCTCTTTTGTAAGACTAACAGCCCTCAAAATTTTTCATTCAGTGATGTCTTCCTCATTGCATTTTAAGTTCAACATGAGCAGGACTTTGTCATGTTCACCTCTATCACATCATAAATATAGCAAAGAGTAAAACTATTGCAACATGACTAATGTATTGAACGATGCTTCAGCTTTCTTCTTACGTTCAATCACAGGTCATACGACTAAAGAACTTCCTTTTTAATCTCCTTTTCTATTCTCAATTAATTTCCTCTGCCTGCATCACCTCAAATCTCTGGGGTGAAATCCACTAATGAATTCCTTTTGCAGCTTAAGCCAATTCCAATCTTGAGCCAATCTCAGGTGAAGAAGCCTGTAAATTATCACTCTCAGTCCTCTCTTGTACTACTAGGTCTCATGAACTCTTCATTAACAACTCCAGCTTCTCTGTTAGCCCAAAAGCCTTTTGCTGCCTAGAAAACCCATGATTCATGCCTCAGGAAACAGCCTTCAAATCACAACATGTTCTGTATCTGGCTGGCCAACTCCCTGCAACTTATTTCTGCCTAGATGCTCCCTCATTCATTTCAATACGCTGTTCGGCCTGCTACCCCAGTTTCCCACTTAGAACAATGGCACACAGGACAGGAGCACATTGGCACATCAGAATGACTTATGTACTGCTCATTGTGTTGCAGAAGAGACCTCTGTGGGGGCAATAGAACAGATTTTCCTCTCACGTCACTGTAGTTGTGGTTTCCCTAAGCACCTACACTGTTTTACCTCATCTTAGGTAGACAATAATCCATGTAACTGACTGTGTATCCTAATTTTAAAAAATATTTCTGCCCACATTATTCTGCAGTTTTTATCTTGCTTACGTATTTTTGGAATGTTACTATTTTTCAAAAATTAATTTGGGATCAACCAACATTTCTTATTCTGCTGCTGTTCTAGAGAAAATCATTTTCCTCATTTCTGAACAAGAGAAAATGAAATACAGCTCTAAACAAATGCCACTGTAAACCAAGGTGGAGCCTTTGCACTTTCAGGCCACCATGATAACCTGGAGATTAGATTTTTCTGTGTCTTTACATCAATAATAAAGCCAAGCTTCTCCAGGGGTATCCACTAGGCTTGTCTCAATGGCTCAATACAGGTCCTTTTGTGAATGATTACCTCACCCTCATGGAAACACACTCTTGTTACAGAAACTCAGAATGATTCTATTTTTTCTTTTATATTTGTATATGTTTTTCCAATACCTCTGAAAAAAATGATCCAAAAAAAAATACAAATTTTAATTGTAGCCAGTCAATTCAGGAAGGACAAAGGTCAAAAACTTTCAAAGAAACCTTCAACCCCAACACACTAAACTTTGGGAGCACAGGTTGGCATCCAGAGGTAAACATTTGCTATAACTGATAACAGGAGAAGGATCCATTTATTCACCTGTTATCAATTACAGGCATTGTATTTAAAGATCAGATGTTTTATATTTATTTCTTCAAATTTCATTCATGGTGCCATAAGTGAAGGTATGTCTGTCCACCCTGAATATATTTTCACTCCCTCATCTCAGTCATTCCGAACAATTCACACACTAAGATTACCCATGCTAAATGGGGATTCTTTTTTACTAGCCAATGTAGTACCTCAAATCCTTCCTTCCTTCCCCCTATTTCATCAGCAGGCAATTCTTTTGATACTTTTGTCAAGGGGAAATTGTGTGACTCAGAGATCTAGTCCCCAAGAGAAACTAATAATGGGCTGGGTATTGTCTGTCTCAGCAGCATCAGTGGGTCCCTCTCCTGTGCAGCTAATTAGCTTCCTTTCCAATATGAAGAATCTTATATATAGCTTTGTCTTTGGGGTATTACATAAATGAAGATTAAGCTATCTGAATTTCTCCTTCTCCTAAAAATGCACATCCTATGCCTGAAAAGACAGGTAAAAGAGATGCTTTTAATTACAAAACTTTCCCTGTCGTGGTTGCTTCTCTCTATCCTTCTAAACTCCCTTTCAATTTCTTCTCTTCTGTAACATATTTGTGCCCAAAATCTTCTGCTTTCTGAAATATTTTATCTTTTTCTTCCACACTATCTCTTATTTTCAAATTTTAATCATTAAATTATATTATGTCTTATAAAACTAATCCCACATATAAACCCCTATGATAATTTCAGTTTGTCCCTAGTATGAAGTTCTTTAAAGATGTGTAGTTTTCTAACTTTCATGCTCTCCAATTCATTATAAACTTCATTTTCCACTCTGAAAAGGAGATGTCTGATCTCATCTATTTCCATCCTATTTGAAAACCAGATTTAGTTTTAAACCAGAGGAAGGGAATCTCAAGTCTTTACCTCCCACAGTCTGGTGTGATTCTCTCTCTTTTGGTATTACCTTCCTCCACATTGGAACACTCCAGCCAATGCATAGGCTGAGAGGCTATCTCAGATTCAGAAAGATTTGGCCTCATCCCAGGGGAGGGTACAGAGGAGCTGATGGCTATGAATTCTGAAATGGAACTGTTCCAGGTTGAAGAAATAAGAAAGGGAATTGGGAAGAGCAATGCCCAGTGAAAAAGAAGAAATAATATTTTAGGAAGTGAATGCTAATTTTATTTTAAACAAAATAAGAACTCAGGGAATAAGAGGGTTCTTCCAATAGGTTAGAGTGATCCTGTCAAACATATATGCTTCTAGATTTTTTTAAAGACTGTTTCTACCAAGAAAGCATAGACCACTATTGAGAAAGATCATTAAACTGGAATTTAGGAGATCTGCCTTCTGATTCTGACTTCTTGAATGTATTGTTAGCCATTTAACCACACTGTGTTGTTTCTCATTCTACCTGTAGAATCTCAAAGTTCTTTCCCACTTCTATACAAAACTATAATTCTGAACATCCTTTTTGTTTAATATAAGTCTGCATTTCCTGTTTGAAGATATGTGTCCCAGACCCTAAATGACTGACAAATTTTAAATCTCCAATAGGAAAGATGACAAACTCTATGGAAACTTGGCTTCTGAAGAACTCCTAGAAGCTTTCCAAAGTCATCAGTGTTTCCTAAGAAGGCAGAGAAATCAAACACATGGTCTTTTCCTCTAGACAAGCTCCTTTGGGTCATCAGGATTTCTTCAACAATAAAATGTAATAATTCCAAATGTTTGTAACAGAATGGGTAGGACTTTCTTCACTTATTTAAATACTCCCTTTTTTATGCAACTGAGTTTTCATCAACAAGTACAAGCTTGTGAAGGAGTACTTTAAAATGCAATTTCTCTCTATTTTTGTGGGGGCTAATATTTTATTTCTCATATTGACAATTTATTATGCTGTTTTTAGAAAGTTCATTCATCAAGTATTTCTTGAGCTTTTTCTATGAGACAGGCACTGTTTTAGGCAAGTAATTATGCACTGAACAATGCAAAAAGTTTCCCTGCACTCATGGACTTTAATTTTACATTTATGAAAAGCTACAAATATTAGAATAAGTAAAATACTGCCTGGAGGCTAAAGCATATTTTGATCACTTATTCCCTAATTCTTTTCGAAGAGAACTCACCTGTCGGTTAGCTGAACCACTGCCAGTGATATCCAACTATACATTCAATCCCACCATACCTCATTATCACACCTATTCACTCACAAGCTTAAACTCTTAACTTTTCTCCACATATCAGTGACTATTTCCTACAGCTTTTCTTTTACTTTCCATGTTTGCAGTGACAATATACATAAACAGTGTATGAAAACTCAAGTAAAATCTACTCTCTCAGGTGTTCATAATGCATCAATGTATATTGCTTTAAGCCTGAAGGTAACCTAAGTAAAGATGTACCATGTTCCACCAATGCTTCTTTTGATCATCATTTTATCCTGTTTTTTCTTTAGGATTCTTTCTTTTTTTTTTTTTTTTTTTTTTTTGAGACGGAGTCTCGCTCTGTCGCCCAGGCTGGAGTGCAGCGGCGCGATCTCGGCTCACTGCAAGCTCCGCCTCCCGGGTTCACGCCATTCTCCTGCCTCAGCCTCCCAAGTAGCTGGGACTACAGGCGCCCGCCACTACGCCCGGCTAATTTTTTGTATTTTTAGTAGAGACGGGGTTTCACCGTTTTAGCCGGGATGGTCTCGATCTCCTGACTTCGTGATCCTCCCGCCTCGGCCTCCCAAAGTGCTGGGATTACAGGCGTGAGCCACCGCGCCCGGCCGGGATTCTTTCTTATTCCTTCCCCTGACCCTTCTTTTATTCTCCAAATTTCTTTCCAATTCATCTTTGTTCTTCCCTTTCCTTTTTACTCTCTTTAAACATTCTATGGACTCTGCCTCCTTCACACTGATATTGAACGCCCATAGTTTCATATTTTGGATTGCGATTGTTTTATTTTAAAATGGCAAATGTTCATGTTATAAAGAGAATTTTTCAGTCTTTAGACTAATAGGTTCATGTAGTTTGGGATTTTCCTCTTTAAGAAAATTAATTATCACTCACACTCCAAGACAAACACCATTTCAGTAGCAATATGAATTTCAGTAGTAATAGGAATCTCCAAATATGACAAAGTAATTCAGACATTAATTGCTTTTGTTTTGGAATTGCTCTTATAAGATGAAATATCACTTTCATGATGAGAGTCCTAGAGTGCTTGGTTTATATATTGTATCTTAGTTTTAACAGGATAAAACACTTGATCCTAAGCAGTAAACATGATTCTTCAGCTTCAACTTCATTTCTTTATAAATAACTATTTATGAATTGGTGTTGAGCTTAGTAAGTCACCAAACACCTTCTGCTCAGCAGCATAAAGGACATTTCCATGAAACCTCCCAGGGATAATCTTATTTACTCTATAATGTTTCCCGGGTTCAATTCCTCTCCCAAAATCCTTTGTTCTTAAGCCCCTATGATCTGGGTGATCTAAATATGGGTAAGAAGTCCAGGGATAGCACTATGAATGAAGTGAAAATAGTAAAACATAGTTAAAAATGTACAGATGCTCTCTGACTTATAATAGGGTTATGTCCTGATAAATCCATCATAAGTCAAAAATGCATTTAATATTCCTAATGTACCTCACATCATAGTTTGGCCTAGCCTACCTTAAATGTGCTCAGAACACTTTCATTAGCTTATATAAGATCACCTAATACAAAGCCTATTTTATAATAAAATATTGAATAGCTCACGTAATATACTGACTACTATACTCAAGTACAGTTTCTTCTGAATGCATGTCACTTTCTCACCATTGTAAAGTCAAACAATTATAAGTCAAACTATCACAAGCCAGGGACCATCCATATGTATTTCATTCAGAAAATGCTGGAAAGAGCATTTAGGAGAATATCTAGATGAGAGAAGGTAGAAAGCCATGCACAAATTCACTGAGAGTTTAAAAAAATGCATGCATATTGTGGAGATAGAAATCAAATCTATTTGTTTCCATCTGCTGTATTCTTCCCAAAATATTATCTCTTCTTATCCCATTGTACTATATTGCATTTCTTTGACCATTTATTGTGTATCTCTTAATATTTCCCACTTCATCATTACTAACCTCACTCACTCTGAACTTGATGAGAGCACCTGAGCATTAATTTTTCTTATAATTATTTAATGATTACCAGAATTCGTTCAGTATGGCCAGCTCTGGTCAAAGTGAGGCAGGCAAGATGCTTTGTCAACTGCCTGGATGGAATGTCTCAAAAGGTTTCCATTTCATGGTAGCATTATGCAAAGTTCAAGACGTTTAATCAAGACCCTTCACTTACTTAACTATACCTCCTTGAGAATCCCATCTATGAAAAAATTCTAGTCATTATAAAAATGATTGATTAAATGAGGGAAGTAGTAGAGTTCTTCATTTCTTTAGTTGGTTTAGTCTCCTATGAGTCAATCCTAGTTTTCAAAATTCTTAATAAACCATTTATTCCTTCAACTTTCTATGCCATTTGATGTTTTGTAAAAAAAAAATATAATATGTATACAAAAAGATATTTCAAAATCTAGAAAGAGAGCTTTAGAGCTTTGTAAAGCTCTTTTAAAAATCAAAAGCAACTACTGTTAATTAACATGTTGTACTATGCAATTTCTTTACCATTATTACTCTTAGTATTTTTAAGAAAAGTCTTTCCATTGTTATTATAAATGCTTCTATTGATATTTATTTTAATAACTGTTATTACAGTCCGTCATGTACATACACTATACTTAAACCTAATGTTTGGTATTTAAATCGTTTCAAGATTTTATCACTGTCAACAAAGTATGATGAATATTTTTATGCTGAAAACTTCTGTAAAAATAGAATTCCAAGACTATTATTGCACCAAAAGGCATGGACTTAAAATTCTTGATACATGATTTCAAAATATTTTCTTTAAGGTTTGAATCAGTCTATATTCCCTCCAGCAGCGTATAAAAGTGCCAGTTTCTCTGATCCTTAGCCAGTTTGGGTAATAAAAATTGTAAAACTTTTTTTTCTTTTTTTTTGAGACAGAGTCTCCCTCTGTCGCCAGGCTGAAGTGCAGTGGCGCAATCTCGGCTCACTGCAACCTCCGCCTCCCGGGGTCAAGCTATTCTCCTGCCTCAGCCTCCCGAGTAGCTGGGACTACAGGCACCCGCCACCACCATGCCCAGCTAATTTTTGTTATTTTTAGTAGAGATGGAGTTTCCCCATGTTGGACAGGATGGTCTCGATCTCTTGACCTCGTGATCCACCCTCCTCGGCCTCCCAAAGTGCTGGGATAACAGGCGTGAACAACCATGCCCGGCCTGTAAAACTTTTTCCTAATGTAACAGAAACATAATAGTATTACATTTTATCATATTTCTTTGATTTCTAAGACACACATACACACACACACACACATATCTGTATATACAAATACACGTATAGCTTACATTTTAATTCTTCCTTCATTTCATTTGTTCATTTATTAGGTCTTGGAGATTTTGTGAAACTGTTTAAATTCTTTTTTATACTATGAAGATATCAACCTTTTGTCTCTACAGCATTTCAAATTCAAGTATGATTCACGTGTTAGTTTGGGGTAGATCATTATAGGCACATGTAGGAAACAGCTTTCAGAGATGCCTTAACCGTAATTATGCATTTGTATTCTAATTTTTATTTAATGTTATTATTGATTGCATTTTTAAAGATTCTGTAATTTTTAAACCATTTATTTGTATATATTGGTATACAATCTTGCCATTTTCTGGGATTTCATATTTCCTTATTTTTGTTTTTTACCTTTTTTGGCTTGAATTTTTTGAGTTTTTATGCATTCTTTTCCAGTTTCTTAAGATGCTAATAAGTTCATCTATTTGAGCAATTGAGAACATTTAAAGCAATAGACTGCCTCTGAGCACAGCTTTGTCCATATTACATTAACCTTTTATACCCTGGGTTCCCACTAGTTTTTAAATAATCTACTATCAAATAAAAGATTTGTTAATAATAAATTTTAAATCATTAACACTTAACGCATTATTTTCAGTCACACTAAGTTGATTCCTTCGTTTCTTTCAGGTTGCTTCACAGTCTTCCCTTCTATCTGATTCAGTGGACCAAGTAAATGACTCTCTGGTAACAGAATTTGTATTACTTGGACTTGCACAATCCTTGGAAATGCAGTTTTTCCTTTTTCTCTTCTTCTCTTTATTCTATGTGGGAATTATCCTGGGAAACCTCTTCATTGTGTTCACAGTGATCTTTGATCCTCACTTACACTCCCCCATGTATATTCTGCTGGCCAACCTATCGCTCATTGACTTGAGCCTTTCATCTACCACAGTTCCTAGGTTGATCTACGATCTTTTTACTGATTGTAAAGTTATTTCCTTCCATAATTGTATGATACAAAAGTTCTTTATCCATGTTACGGGAGGAGTTGAAATGGTGCTGCTGATAGTCATGGCATATGATAGGTACACTGCGATCTGCAAACCTCTCCACTATCCAACTATTATGAATCCCAAAATGTGCATGTTTTTGGTAGCAGCAGCTTGGGTCATTGGGGTGATTCATGCTATGTCTCAGTTTGTTTTTGTCATAAATTTACCCTTCTGTGGCCCTAATAATGTGGGGAGCTTTTATTGTGATTTTCCTCGGGTTATTAAACTTGCATGCATGGACACTTATGGGCTAGAATTTGTGGTCACTGCCAACAGTGGATTCATATCGATGGGCACCTTCTTTTTCTTAATTGTATCATACATTTTTATTCTGGTCACTGTCCAACGACATTCCTCAAATGATTTATCCAAAGCATTCTTCACTTCGTAGGCTCACATCACCGTAGTGGTTTTGTTTTTTGCTCCATGCATGTTTCTCTACGTGTGGCCTTTCCCTACTAAGTCATTGGATAAATTTTTTGCCATCATGAACTTTGTTGTCACCCCTGTCTTAAATCCTGCCATCTATACTTTAAGGAACAAAGATATGAAGTTTGCAATGAGAAGGCTGAATCAACATATTTTAAATTCTATGGAGATGACATAACACATTTGGTTGATGAGAGCACAGGATAAATGCCATGGACCATCAAGACTCCTGTGATCACCATGATCACTATGGAACGCGCACATTTTTAGTATTGCCTGAAAAAACTGAAAAATCTGCAAAAAGGATGCATTAAATCTAAGAATTGTATTTCAGATAAAGTTGCAACATTTTTTGTTAATCATAAAAAGTATATATTTCTATCTAATGTGTGTATCTAATTAACAGCAATGACTATCTTTAATTTTGATGTAGTTATTTTATATCTGTATATAAGCACATACACATATATATGACCTAGGTTTATTTATCAGTATTTTTATGCTGATAATAAGCATCACTGGAAATTAATTTTCTTATGGAAATTATGTGGATCCAATGGATAAAATATGAGTTTATATAAATTAGTAAATGCCAAAATCAAGGAAGAAACAATTTTTATTTTAATTGTACTTTAAGTTAGATAAATGGTAAGGTCAACAGCTTGTTACAACCCTTAAGTATTATTTTCAGGCTGATTGTCAATATGTTTTGTACAATGTTCTCACTTATAGGTGGGAATTGAACAATGAGAACACATGGACACAGGAAGGGGAACATCACACACCGGGGCCTGTTGTGGGGTGGGGGGAAGGGGGAGGGATAGCATTAGGAGATATAACTAGTGTTAAATGACGAGTTAATGGGTGCAGCACACCCACATGGCACATGTATACATATGTAACAAACCTGCACATTGTGCACATGTACCCTAGAACTTAAAGTATAATAAAAAAAATAGACTCTAGTACTCTGTATTATGCAAAATTTGTCTATGTTACACTTTTTTAACAACACAATCCTATTGCCCTTGAAATCTTCTTCAAAGCATTTCTCGAGTCACTCTTAAAAAGCATCTACAACCTAAAAGTATAGGAAGAGATTTATTTCCTGGAGAAGAGACTCCATTGAGATCTTAAAAGCACATTTAATGTGCCTGTGCTTAACTTAAGGTGCTTAGGACAAAGAAGGCGATTGACATCTTTCAGGTAAAACCTGTTAAGTTTGGTGGTCAAGGAACACAACTGAGACATCACTTGGATGTATTTCTATGACTATTTTAAGAAACATAAATTGTGGTGACTCACTCAGCTCACTTTTAACTACTGCATGGTAATTAAAGATGCAAAATAAAATAAGTTACAAGAAGTGAGGTTTTTTATTGGTTAAAGCAATTTTTCTATATTTTCTCCACAAGTTGGTCATAAAAGTTCTAAGCATTCCTCTTTTTATAAAATCGAAGCATTATTACTTACTCTCTTGTTAACCTATCTGGATTTTAATTTTGTAACTTTATTATATTTGTTTTGCTGTGATTCTTTAAAAAGCACCTTTAGACTCAGTGAGATAGCAAAAATATCCAAATAGGCCAAAAAATTGTGGCAATGTCCTCTCACTCAGGAAAATTCTGTGTGTTTTCTCTAATGGCCAAGGGAAAACTTGTGAGACTATAAAAGTTAGTCTCAGTACACAAAGCTCAGACTGGCTATTCCCAGATCTCTTCAGGTACATCTAGTCCATTCATAAAGGGCTTTTAATTAACCAAGTGGTTTACTAAAAAGGACAATTCACTACATATTATTCTCTTACAGTTTTATGCTACTATGCTTCAAGGGACTACAGCAATTTTCACAGAATTATATATAATTCTAATGGTTGAATTCCATGAATAATCTATGGCATGAAAGATTTTACCTGTCAACAGTGGCTGGCTCTTCATGGTTGCTACAATGAGTGTGTAAGATTCTGAAGAACTCCTTTAATAAGCCTAAACTTAATGTTCAACTTAGAATAAATACAATTCTTCTAAATTTTTTTGAATAATTTTTGAAAAGTCAGAAATGAGCTTTGAAAGAATTATGGTGGTGAAGGATCCCCTCAGCAGCACAAATTCAGGAGAGAGATGTCTTAACTACGTTAGCAAGAAATTCCTTTTGCTAAAGAATAGCATTCCTGAATTCTTACTAACAGCCATGATAGAAAGTCTTTTGCTACAGATGAGAACCCTCGGGTCAACCTCATCCTTGGCATATTTCATGTGAAGATATAACTTCAAGATTGTCCTTGCCTATCAATGAAATGAATTAATTTTATGTCAATGCATATTTAAGGTCTATTCTAAATTGCACACTTTGATTCAAAAGAAACAGTCCAACCAACCAGTCAGGACAGAAATTATCTCACAATAAAAATCCTATCATTTGTACTGTCAATGATTAGTATGATTATATTTATTACCGTGCTAAGCAGAAGAGAACTGAAGTGAATGTTCATGATTTATTCCACTATTAGACTTCTCTTTATTCTTAAAAATATTTAAGATCACTAAATTTTTATAGGACTTTAAAAACAGTAATGTGCTGCTTGAGTGTGTAGGACTAAGAAATGGGATTCAGAGTAGTAAAGAGAAAAGTAGAATTTCCAAGCACTATGAATTACTGTTCTTTAAAAAACAGCAAAAATCAAATAACAGTATTCCTCCAAAAAAGATGGCAAGTGTAAACTCTATACCTTCATGTCTCCCGTGGAATGTTAGTGATCAATTTCCACTTCTCCCTTTTACATCTTACTTGCCCATTAACTCTTATACCTAATCCAAAGATTGTTAATATGGCTATGCCTCACTTTCAGGACACCTTTTATTTGTTACTTCTCTTCACTGCAAAACTTCTTGAAACAGTACTTATTTTCTCTCCTCCATACACAATTGAAATGGCTCTCAACTCATGCCCAGAAGTCAGTGTTCAGTCTCTCACCTGGCAGATAGCAACTTACAAAGATGCCCCAACAATACCTCCTTGTGTCTAGACAGTCATCATTATCCTTTACCTTTTTCTGTATTTATTTCTGCTCCTAAAAGGGATCTCTATGTAAAGTATTGTTATACTAGTGCTTGTTATAATTATTATCAGCTCCCTCCCTTCCAATTCCAAGCTCCCTCCCTTCCAATTCACATTGAGTCCAGAGCTAAATTAAACAATCATTCAAAATTTTTCAGTAGTTCTTGTCTCTATAATAAAACAGAAATGCTTTAGAAAGCATTCCAAAATCTCTTACCAGTTTTATCTCCTATGAAAGTCCTTCACACTTTCTCTCATTTAAACTTTATTGCATTTTCCTCACTTTTTCTCACTTCACTTTTGAATTCCCTATTCTTTTATCCTCTGTTAATTTTTAAGTATTATATTTGTGATACTATTTTTTCTTTTTTTCTATTTTTTATCTTTCATTTCATTTTGGCCTATTTTTTTCTCTTAAGAACTTTAATATCACCAAATAACATGCGTGCTACAAACTGTTTTGTAGTTCAAAGAAAAAGGAGATAAACATAGAGTTATGGCATAGACTTAATCTGGCAGAGAGACAAGCATAAATAATGGTATTTTATATTAGGAATAAACCTAACATTAATGGAGACACTGAGAAGCTGAGATAACTGAATTATAAGGCATAGCCAGGGAAGTAGTGCGAGACAAAATTATGATCTTGTTGAATTCTGAATGTCTTTAAGTAATAGATTATAGAAAGTCACTGTAAGAGTGAGCAGAATGATATAAAATGAGGCTTTGAATTTGAATATAATAATTCTGACTTCCTTCTCCTTCTCTTCTTCAAGGTAACTGCAGAGGCTATTTCCTGGAATGAATCAACGAGTGAAACGAATAACTCTATGGTGACTGAATTCATTTTTCTGGGTCTCTCTGATTCTCAGGAACTCCAGACCTTCCTATTTATGTTGTTTTTTGTATTCTATGGAGGAATCGTGTTTGGAAACCTTCTTATTGTCATAACAGTGGTATCTGACTCCCACCTTCACTCTCCCATGTACTTCCTGCTAGCCAACCTCTCACTCATTGATCTGTCTCTGTCTTCAGTCACAGCCCCCAAGATGATTACTGACTTTTTCAGCCAGCGCAAAGTCATCTCTTTCAAGGGCTGCCTTGTTCAGATATTTCTCCTTCACTTCTTTGGTGGGAGTGAGATGGTGATCCTCATAGCCATGGGCTTTGACAGATATATAGCAATATGCAAACCCCTACACTACACTACAATTATGTGTGGCAACGCATGTGTCGGCATTATGGCTGTCGCATGGGGAATTGGCTTTCTCCATTCGGTGAGCCAGTTGGCCTTTGCCGTGCACTTACCCTTCTGTGGTCCCAATGAGGTCGATAGTTTTTATTGTGACCTTCCTAGGGTAATCAAACTTGCCTGTACAGATACCTACAGGCTAGATATTATGGTCATTGCTAACAGTGGTGTGCTCACTGTGTGTTCTTTTGTTCTTCTAATCATCTCATACACTATCATCCTAATGACCATCCAGCATTGCCCTTTAGATAAGTCGTCCAAAGCTCTGTCCACTTTGACTGCTCACATTACAGTAGTTCTTTTGTTCTTTGGACCATGTGTCTTTATTTATGCCTGGCCATTCCCCATCAAGTCATTAGATAAATTCCTTGCTGTATTTTATTCTGTGATCACCCCTCTCTTGAACCCAATTATATACACACTGAGGAACAAAGACATGAAGACGGCAATAAGACGGCTGAGAAAATGGGATGCACATTCTAGTGTAAAGTTTTAGATCTTATATAACTGTGAGATTAATCTCAGATAATGACACAAAATATAGTGAAGTTGGTAAGTTATTTAGTAAAGCTCATGAAAATTGTGCCCTCCATTCCCATATAATTTAGTAATTGTCTAGGAACTTCCACATACATTGCCTCAATTTATCTTTCAACAACTTGTGTGTTATATTTTGGAATACAGATACAAAGTTATTATGCTTTCAAAATATTCTTTTGCTAATTCTTAGAATGAAGAAAGGCATAAATATATTAGTATTTGTGTACACCTGTTCCTTCCTGTGTGATCCTAAGTTTAGTAGAAGAAAGGAGAGAAAATATAGCCTAGCTTATAAATTTAAAAAAAAATTTATTTGGTCCATTTTGTGAAAAACATAAAAAAAGAACTGTCACATCTTAATTTAAAAAATATATGCTTAGTGGTAAGGAGATATATGTCAACTTTTAAGAGGTTGAAAAACAAACGCCTCCCATTATAAGTTTATACTTCACCTCCCACCACTATAACAACCCAGAATCCATGAGGGCATTATCAGGAGTGAGTGGAAGAGTAAGTTTGCCAATGTGAAATGTGCCTTCTAGGTCCTAGACATCTGTGGTATAACTGCTCATAAGCAGTAGAAAGAATTTAGAGGGATCCAGGCTCTCATCATGTTGGCACAAAGTATATTACTTGGATCCATCTATGTCATTTTCCATGGTTAATGTTTAAAAGCACAGGCTTTAAAGTAAAAAACAAAGAGCTGGATTCAACTCTACTGACTCTTATTAATCATGATTTTGGGCACATTACGTAGCTTTCATGAGCTTTAGTTTCTACATTTATAAACAGGAGATTATACCTATTATGCATGGTTATTATGAAGGAAAATGACAAAATAGATATAAATCAAATAGCCCACTTCGAGACATATTAAGCATGAATAAACATTAGATACTATTAAAATCCTATATATTAACAAAGCCAAAAGTTTCAAACTTTACTTTTTCCCAACATTCTTGTGAAATATGACACATCCCAATCTTAACAGATGCTCATTTGGGATACTGTACTTGTGAGTGGAAGTGTGTATATTTGTGTGCAAGTGTGTACTCATATACTTCCACCTTACCACCCTAGAAAGGCATGATGAAAATTTAAGATAGAAGGAAAATATAAATTGAAAAAAAAAAAAAACCTTAGCAAATGATTCTGACAAATATCTTCTCTTTCCAGGGAGAATCACTGAGCCAGAATAAAATTGAACACTAAATATTCTAAGAAAAAAGGAATCTAGTTTGTCAAAATGTGACTTGAATTAATAGATAAGGAGAGTCAGATGATAAAAGGGTCAAAATTATGTTTATCTTAGGAAAAGTAGAATAGAAAATTTATAAGCAGATTAAAAACACATAATAAAAGTAGTAAATAATAATGACAGTATCTCAAATCAGTGCAGGGGGGAAAGGCCTACTAATGTGATGGTGGGATAATTGGATAGCAATATGGGAAAAGATATATTTAATTTATTTGCTACACCAAATGCCAGGACAATCTCTAAGTGAATTCAAGACATAACTCTTTTTTCAAAAAAACTATGCAAATATTAAAAGAAAACAAGTTAATGTTTTTATAATCTATGAATATGGTAAAGATGGATAACATTGACTATCAAATTAATTTTTAATGCGTAATAAAACTATGAGAAAATTTAAAAGTGGGAAGAAACTACTTGTAACTCACATAATAGACTAGCACTTCTAACACATAGGGAACTTCTAAAACAAAACCCAAAATATTAATAGGAAAATGGGCAAAACAGTTAAACTTACAGTTCATACATAAGGAGAATCAGTCTTTTTTTTTTTTACAGTTGTAGGCAAAAAACTTTTATTTTTCATTTATTTGTAAAATTTACCCCTAATTTATTCATAATTCATTTAACTGCTAAGGGCATTAATGTGTACAACGCCATGGGAGAAACCAGTATATTCAGAATTTCTCCTGAAATTTGACCAGAAGTTATGGGCATCCCTCCCCTGGGAAGGAGGCAGGCAGAAAAGTTTGGAATCTATGTAGTAAAATATGTTACTCTTTTATATATATACATATATGTGTGTATATGTGTATATATATATACACACATATATACATACATACATACATACATACATACATACATACATATTATCTGAATTAGGCCTGGTCTTTTTTAATAGTTTAAGTTCTGGGATACATGTGCAGAATGTACAGGTTTGTTACACAGGTATACACGTGCCATGGTTGTTTGCTGCACCCATCAATTCATCATCTACATTAGGTATTTCTCCTAACGTTATCCCTCTCCTTGCCTCCCACCCCCCGACAGGCCCTGGTGTGTGATATTCCCTTCCCTGTGCCCATATGTTCTCATTGGTCAACTCCCACTTATGAGTGAGAACATGCGGTGTTTGGTTTTCTGTTCTTGTGTTAGTTTGCGGAGAATGATGGTTTCCAGCTTCATCCATGTCCCTGCAAAGGACATGAACTCATTCTTTTTTATGGCTGCAAGAAATGCAAATCAAAACCACAATGAGATGCCATCTCACACCAGTTAGAATGGCAATCATTAAAAAGTCAGGAAACAATAGATGCTGGAGAGGATGTGGAGAAATAGGAATGCTTTTACACTGTTGGTGGGAGCGTACATTAGTTCAACCATTGTGGAAGACAGTGTGGTGATTCCTCAAGGATCTAAAACTAGAAATACCATTTGACCCAGCAATCCCATTACTGGGTATATACCCAAACGATTGTAAGTCATTCTACTATAAAGACACATGCACAGGTATGTTTATTGCAGCACTATTCACAATAGGGAAGACTTGGAACCAACCCAAATGCCCATCAGTGTTAGACTAGATAAAATGTGGCACATAGACCTGGTCTTAAAATCAAGAACAGAGATTGTTACTTTTACATCCATTCCTAATTGATAAACCATTCAGTTATACCACATCTTAGCTTCTGGACTACAATGACCATATTTGGGGTTTTCTTTCTAATTTCATTATAGGTTCAGAGGGTACATGTGCAGGTTTGAGACAAAGGTATATTGCATGATACTAAGGTCTGGAGTACAAATGATTCCACCTCCCAGGTAGCAAGAATAATACCCAATATGTAGTTTTTCAACTCTTTCCCCTCTTCCTCCATCCTCCCTCTGCTACTCTGTGGTGTCTGTTTCTCTCATCTTTATGTCCATGTGTACTCGATGCTTAGCTCCCCCTTGTAGGTGAGAACATGTGGTATTTGGTTTTCTGTTTCAGTGTTAATTCACTTAGGATAATGGCCTCCAACTGCATTCATGCTGCTGCAAAGGATGTGACTTTCTTCTTATTAGCTGCATATATTTTGTGGTGGATTTGTACCACATTTACTTTATCTAGTCCAAAGTTGTTGGGCACCCAGGTGGATTCCATGTCTTTGCTATTGTGAATAGCACTGGGACAACCCATACAAGTTCATGTGTCTTTTTGGTAAAACAATGTATTTTCCTTTGGGCATATATGCGGTGATGGAATTGCTGGATCGAGTGGTAGTTTAACTCTTAGTTCTTTGAGAAATCCCCAGACTGTTCTCCACAGTGGCTGGACTAAGTTGCATTCCCACCAGCAGTGTAGAAGTGTTCCCCATTCTCTGTAGCCTCACCAGCACATGTTAAACTATCTTTAAATATATGAAAAAAATGTTCAAGTCTCTCAGATTAAGATGCATGCAAAGTAAAATGATACTTAAATATCAGTTCTAACCTATAAAATATCAAATATCTGACCTCAATATTTGATAATCCAACCTGTTGATGAAGCTGTAGAGAGAGGCACTCTTTTTTTTTTTTTTTTTAATTATACTTTAAGTTTTAGGGTACATGTGCACCTTGTGCAGGTTAGTTACATATGTATACATGTGCCATGCTGGTGCGCTGAACCCACTAACTCGTCATCTAGCATTAGGTATATCTCCTGATGCTATCCCTCCCCCCTCCCCCCACCCCACAACAGTCCCCAGAGTGTGATATTCCCCTTCCTGTGTCCATGTGATCTCATTGTTCACTTCCCACCTATGAGTGAGAATATGTGGTGTTTGGTTTTTTGTTCTTGCGATAGTTTACTGAGAATGATGATTTCCAATTTCATCCATGTCCCTACAAAGGACATGAACTCATCATTTCTTATGGCTGCATAGTATTCCATGGTGTATATGTGCCACATTTTCTTAATCCAGTCTATCATTGTTGGACATTTGGGTTGGTTCCAAGTCTTTGCTATTGTGAATAATGCCGCAATAAACATACATGTGCATGTGTCTTTATAGCAGCATGATTTATAGTCCTTTGGGTATATACCCAGTAATGGGATGGCTGGGTCAAATGGTATTTCCAGTTCTAGATCCCTGAGGAATCGCCACACTGACTTCCACAATGGTTGAACTAGTTTACAGTCCCACCAACAGTGTAAAAGTGTTCCTATTTCTCCACATCCTCTCCAGTACCTGTTGTTTCCTGACTTTTTAATGATTGCCATTCTAACTGGTGTGAGATGGTATCTCATTGTGGTTTTGATTTGCATTTCTCTGATGGCCAGTGATGATGAGCATTTTTTCATGTGTTTTTTGGCTGCATAGATGTCTTCTTTTGAGAAGTGTCTGTTCATATCCTTCGCCCACTTTTTGATGGGGTTGTTTGTTTTTTTCTTGTAAATTTGTTTGAATTCATTGTAGATTCTGGATATTAGCCCTTTGTCAGATGAGTTGGTTGCGAAAATTTTCTCCCATTTTGTAGGTTGCCTGTTCACTCTGATGGTAGTTTCTTTTGCTGTGCAGAAGCTCTTTAGTTTAATTAGATCCCATTTGTCAATTTTGTCTTTTGTTGTCATTGCTTTTGTCCCATCGATCCCACAGAAATACAAACTACCATCAGAGAATACTACAAACACCTCTATGCAAATAAACTAGAAAATCTAGAAGAAATGGATAAATTCCTGGACACATACACTCTCCCAAGACTAAACCAGGAAGAAGTTGAATCTCTGAATAGACCAATAACAGAAGCTGAAATTGTGGCAATAATCAATAGCTTACCAACCAAAAAGAGTCCAGGACCAGATGGATTCACAGCCGAATTCTACCAGAGGTACAAGGAGGAACTGGTACCATTCCTTCTGAAACTATTCCAATCAATACAAAAAGAGGGAATCCTCCCTAACTCATTTTATGAGGCCAGCATCATTCTGATACCAAAGCCAGGCAGAGACACAACAAAAAAAGAGAATTTTAGACCAATATCCTTGATGAACATTGATGCAAAAATCCTCAATAAAATACTGGCAAAACGAATCCAGCAGCACATCAAAAAGCTTATCCACCAAGATCAAGTGGGCTTCATCCCTGGGATGCAAGGCTGGTTCAATATATGCAAATCAATAAATGTAATCCAGCATATAAACAGAGCCAAAGACAAAAACCACATGATTATCTCAATAGATGCAGAAAAAGCCTTTGACAAAATTCAACAACGCTTCATGCTAAAAACTCTCAATAAATTAGGTATTGATGGGACGTATTTCAAAATAATAAGACCTGTCTATGACAAGCCCACAGCCAATATCATACTGAATGGGCAAAAACTGGAAGCATTCCCTTTGAAAACTGGCACAAGACAGGGATGCCCTCTCTCACCACTCCTATTCAACATAGTGTTGGAAGTTCTGCCCAGGGCAACTAGGCAGGAGAAGGAAATAAAGGGTATTCAATTAGGAAAAGAGGAAGTCAAATTGTCCCTGTTTGCAGACGACATGATTGTATATCTAGAAAACCCCATTGTCTCAGCCCAAAATCTTCTTAAGCTGATAAGCAACTTCAGCAAAGTCTCAGGATACAAAATAAATGTACAAAAATCACAAGCATTCTTATACACCAACAACAGACAAACAGAGAGCCAAATCATGAGTGAACTCCCATTCACAATTGCTTCAAAGAGAATAAAATACCTAGGAATCCAACTTACAAGGGATGTGAAGGACCTCTTCAAGGAGAACTACAAATCACTGCTCAAGGAAATAAAAGAGGATACAAATAAATGGAAGAACATTCCATGCTCATGGGTAGGAAGAATCAATATTGTGAAAATGGCCATACTGCCCAAGGTAATTTACAGATTCAATGCCATCCCCATCAAGCTACCAATGACTTTCTTCACAGAATTGGAAAAAACTACTTTAAAGTTCATATGGAACCAAAAAAGAGCCTGCATCGCCAAGTCAATCCTAAGCCAAAAGAACAAAGCTGGAGGCATCACGCTACCTGACTTCAAACTATACGACAAGGCTACAGTAACCAAAACAGCATGGTACTGGTACCAAAACAGAGATATAGATCAATGGAACAGAACAGAGCCCTCAGAAATAATGCCGCATATCTACAACTATCTGATCTTTGACAAACCTGAGAAAAACAAGCAATGGGGAAAGGATTCCCTATTTAATAAATGGTGCTGGGAAAACTGGCTAGCCATATGTAGAAAGCTGAAACTGGATCCCTTCCTTACACCTTATACAAAAATCAATTCAAGATGGATTAAAGACTTAAACGTTAGACCTAAAACCATAAAAACCCTGGAAGAAAACCTAGGCTTTACCATTCAGGACACAGGCATGGGCAAGGACTTCATGTCTAAAACACCGAGAGAGGCACTCTTATGCATTGTTGGTGAGAATACAAAATGGTACAACTCTTGGCAATATCTTAAAAAATTTACATGGTACTGACTTTTGGTCTAGCAATCCTACTTCTATCCTAAAGATATATTGGCAAAAATACAAAATAATTGATGCACACAAGTCTATTCATTGAAGCATTGTTTTTCATAGTAAAGAACGGAAAGTAGGCCGGGCGTGGTGGCTCATGCCTGTGATCCCAGCATTTTGGGAGGCTGAGGCGGGCAGATCACTTGAGGCCAGGAATTCAAGACCAGCGTGGCTAACATGGCGAAACCCCATCTCTACCAAAAATACAAAAATTAGCCGGGTGTGGTGGTGCACACTTGTAATTCCAGCTACTTGAGAGGCTGAGGTGGGAGGATCGCTTGAACCTGGGAGGCAGAGGTTTCAGTGAGCCCAGAACGTGCCTCTGCACTCCAGCCAGGATGACAGAGCAAGACTCCATCTCAAAAAAAAAAAAAAAAAAGGAAAGTAACCAAATGACAATTAGTGAGTACTACTTGCAAAACTTGTACGCAATAGAGTATGAAGCAACTATAAAATGAGTGAGAAATATCTCCAAATACTACTCTAAAGTAATCTACAAGGTATACCTTAACTGAAAAGAAACAAAAAAGTGACACCAGAATGTTATTTTTATGTTAAAACAGGGATAAATACATTGGATTTACATGCATATATAAGTATATATTTTATAAATATTTAAATAAGCATACTTAAAATGGCAAAAACATAATCCATATATAATTTTCTTATGGCAGGAGGAGGAAACAGGGCAAGGCACAGGGATAAAAGTTATTCTGAATACATCTTATTTTATATTTTTGACTTTGAAATCATGTAGCTGTTTTATGTAACTTAAAAATGTAATTAAATTAACAGAAAAAAATTACAACTGCTAAAAATCAAGATCTGGCATTTTAATTAAGTTATAAAACATCGGAGAAAAGAATTGTTTCATAGGACACTAACATACAGACAAATTCATTTGGAACCCAATGAATTAATGGGCCTAAGATAACAACCAATAGAAGCTAAAATGACGAGTAACTGTTTCAGAAGAAAACATATATGGAATGAATCAGCTGAAAATACCTGAACCTACTGATCAATTTTTATATCACATGAAGTGAATACACATAAAGTATAATATGGAGCACATAGAACCAACTAGAAATGAGCCTAATTGGTAAATATTCTCTATTTTATGATAATATACAGGAAATATGTCAAAGAGAGAAACATGCAAGAACACCGTAGGGTTTAATAAGATAATCACAAGGTATGGAATATTCAACAGGATGAATATCCTGGATTATTCAGCAAATACACAGAGCTAAAAAGCAGGAGAAAGGAATTCATATATATTTTTAAAAACTAAAAAGATATATTAGCCAATGCAACTTTGAAACTTCTTTAGATCCTGATTCAAATAGAGCAAATTTAACAAATATATTTGAAACTATTAAAATAATTTTAAAATGACTAAGTATTTGATTATATCAAATATAGACAATAATAACCTTGAATGTACATGGATTAAATGTCCACTTAGGGGCTGGGTGTGGTGGCTCATGACTATAATTCCAGCACTTTGGGAGGCCAAGGCAGAAGGATTGCTTGAGGTCAGAGGTTCAAGTGCAGCCTGGTCAACACAGTGAGACCCTATCTGTACAAAAAACAAACAAAAATAAAAAATTAACTAATTTTAAAAAATATATATTTCTTCTAAATTCTCCACCTGAAAGATATAGACTGACTGAATGAATTTTAACTATGACCTGACTATGTGCTTCCCTGAACAAATGCACTTTACCTGTAAAACACATATTAACTAAAAGAAAAGAGATGGAAAAAGGTATTCCATGAACAGAAACCAAAATGAGTAGGAGTAGCTATACTTATGTCAGACAAAACAGACTTTAAGTCAAAACTAGCTTTAGAAAAAAGACAAAAATGCTTATTATACAACGATAAAGGAATCAATCCAGAAAGAGGATATAACAATTTTAAATATATATGCAGCCAACACTGGAGCAGCCAGATTCATAAAGCAAATACTACTAGGTCAAAACAGAGAGGTAGACTCAAATATAATAATAGTGAAGGACTTCAACACCCCACTTTCAGCATTAAACAGATCATCTAATAAGAAAACCAATCTCGCAGCCCTCACCCTGGAGAGTCCACAGGGACCAGGGGTTGGTCTGAACCCCCAGCACAGAGCACCTGCCTCACGGAAGAGTGGCTGCATTTTTCTTCCTGCAGTTTTCAGTCCTCACTTCTCCTTACCAAACAGGGCCGCCTGGCCTGGGACTCCTGTACAACTACCCTGCCCCCCACCTGACCACTTCAATAAGAAGTAGCCCAGCATTTCTCCAAGGAGGAAATACCAGAGTCAATTCACAACCACTGCAATTGTAGTGGTACCACCATAACAGCCCTTGGGCTGCAGAAGGAACTAAGAGTCTAATCACTACAGTGGCACCTTCAGCACACCACAGCCACCATACAGAGAGGAATCCAGCCCCCTCCCCTGGGAACCCCCACCACCCACTCCACCAGGCACAGCACCCAGCTCATAACTGCAGATCAGTTGCCCCACCCACAGCTGAGCTTACCTACTGGCAGTGGCCCAGACTTTCCCTAGGGAGAGGCTCCCAGAGGCAAACGACAGCCTCTCTGCCCCTGTCACAGCAGCAGTTCTATCCATGCTGTCCTCAGGCTTGGAAAGAAACAAAGCGCCTGAAGGCTGCACCTGAACTTACAGCATGCCACAGTTCCCATATGGAGAGGAGACCAGTCTCTTCTCCCAGTGAGCCCTAAACCCCCTGATCCCCAACAAGCAGAGCCCTAACCTCACACCAGCAGTACAGCTGCTCCATCCCCCAGGCTGAACATTCCCAGTAATAGCAGCTCCACCTGGAGATGGAGCCCCCAGGGTCAACCAAAAGCCCCTCTGCCACTGCCTCTACAGTGGTACTACCCCTGCTACCCTTGAACTAACAAAGGAGCAAAGACCCCAGTGCTTTATCCACACCTCCAACAAGCTGCAGTCGACCACAAAGAAGAAACAAGTCTGTCTCCCATGGGTCCTACCCACACCCCCTGCTGTTCACCATGAATGATAGAGTCAACAGTGTGAAAACGACCATACTGCCAAAAGCAACCTACAAATTCAATGCAATTCCCATCAAAATACCACCATCATTCTTCACAGAACTAGAAAAAACAAGGCTAAAATTCACATGGAACCAAAAAAGAGCCCACACAGCCAAAGCAAGACTAAGCAAAAAGAATAAATCTAGAGGCATCACATTACTCGACTTCAAACTATACTATAAGGCCATAGTCACCAAAACAGCATGGTACTGGTATAAAAATAGGCATATAGACCAATGGAATAGAATAGAGAACCCAGAAATAAAGCCAAATACTTTCAGCCAACTGATCTTTGACAAAGCAAGCAAAAACATAAAGTGGGGAAAGGACACCCTATTCAACAAATGGTGCTGGTATAATTGGCAAGCCACATGTAGAAGAATGCAACTGGATCCTCATCTCTCACCTTATAAACAAATCAACTCAAGATGGTTCACAGACTTAAATCTAAGACCTGAAACCATAAAAATTCTAGAAGATAAGATTGGAAAAACACTTCTAGACATTGGCTTAGGCAAAGACTTCACAATCAAGAACCCAAAAGCAAACACAACAAAGATAAATAGATGGGACTTAATTAAACTGAAAGCCTTCTGCACATCAAAATAAATAATCAGCAGAGTAAACAGACAACCCACAGAGTGGGAGAAAATCTTCACAAACTATGCATCCAACAGAGGACTAATATCCAGAATCTACAAAGAATTGGAACAAATCAGCAAGAAAAAAAACCAAACACAAGGATGACAGTGGAAATACAAAAACAAGACATAAATATTCTGAATAGTGATAATAAAACAGTGCATACCAGAATACAAACTGTTTCCAAGTTACAATGGTTCAACCATTTTTCAGCTTTATGGTGGTGTGAAAGTGATATCCATTCATTAGAAACCATGCTCCAGGATGGGCGCAGTGGGTCACGCCTGTAATCCTAGCACTTTGGGAGGCCGAGGAGGGCGGATCACAAGGTCAAGAGATCAAGACCATCCTGGCCAACATGGTGAAACCCCGTCTCTCCTAAAAATACAAAAATTAGCTGGGCATTGTGGTGCGTGCCTGTAATCCCAGCTATTCGGGAGGCTGAGGCAGGAGAATCACTTGAACCAGGGAGTCGGAGGTGTTGCAGTGAGCCGAGATCGTGCCACTGCCTCCAGCCTGGCAACAGAGTGAGACTCCAGCTCAAAAAAAAGAAAGAAACCCGACTCCGAATTTTGAATTTTGATATTTTCCTGGACTACCAATATGTGGCACAATGCTCTCTCACAATGTTGTGCAACAGCGGTGAGCTGCAGCTTCCAGTCAGCCAAATGATAATAAAGGTAGATAATCCATCTTGATATCTTCCTGAAGAACATAATGCCTGCCTACCATCAACAGGCATCAATACTTTCTACCAGCTATTCTCAACCCTCATGATCGGAAGAGACAGAGACTGACTGTGTCAAAGTATTAGTCCCATCATTCAGCAATTAACCTTAGCTCAATGCTTCAAAAATTCTTCAGGCCCTGTGTAATTTCAGCTACGTACATTAATGATAAGTACCCATACAACCATTCTGTTTCTTATTTTCAGTACCATATTTAATAAATATCAGTTATTCAATACTTTATTTAGACATTTTGTTAGATTATTTTGACCAACTGAAGCCTAATCTAAATGTTCTGAGCATGTTCAAAGTAAGCTAGGCCAACCTATAATTTTCGGTGTGCTAAATGCATTTTTAACTTATGATATTTTCAGTTTACGGGGGTTTGTTGAGACAAAACTTCATCATACATCAAGGAGCATCTGTATATGGGATATAGTTAAAGCAGTGATCAGAGGAAAATCTATAGCCTTAACACATTTATTAATAAAAGTGTAGGAATTAAATTATCAGCTGAAAAATGTAAAAAGTATCTAAAAGAGTAAGCAGAAAGTACAAGAAAGAACCCAAAGTAGAAAAAAGTGAAAATTAATAAAATAAGAAGCCAAAAAACAGATCAAATCAGTAAACCAAAAATCTTGTTCTTTAAACAAATCAACAAAGTTGACAAAAAAATTAGATCTCTTAATCATGAATAAAAAAAAAGAGAAAGCACAAAAATGAATAAGGAATGGTGAGAGAAATAACTATTGATAATCAGCAAATAAAAAATCATTAAAAACAATGTTGTTCACATCTATGAAAAACATTGAAAGCTAGAGGGAATGGGTAATTTTCTAGAAAAATACAATTCACCACAACTGACTTCAAAAAAAAAAAAAGAAGTACAGCACTTATGTGAGCAATTTCCATAGAGAAATACAGTTGTCATGGAATTATAACACACACACAAACACTAGGTTTAGATGTTTTCACGGAGAATTCCACCAAACCTTTAGAAATCAGATCGTCCAAAGGCAAATTAACAACCCTCAGCCATTTGCGGCAAAATATTACAATTGAGGCAAGATATACTGTACTGAAAACTTGAGGAAAAAGCAGGAGAGAAAGTTCCTTTGGGAAATTCGAATACTCAAAAGTGCTTACATACAATGAAAAATTTGGAAATCCATAAGCATGGCCAAGGTGGGACACATGCTCAGAAAAGGCCTGAGAAGACACTAATAACTCACCTTTAGTAATTCCTAGGCTCACAGCAAGAAAAAATGAAGGCTAAGGCAGAATTATACATGGCTCCGCTAAGTGTTGAGGGAGCCCCAATACAGAGTCAGTAAGCAAAGTCTGGGAGATGTTTTTCATATTTTTTTCTTTTTTGGCTCCTTGCAGTCAAGGAAATCATTTTTAAATCACTAAATGCTAAATGAACACAAGCTAAAGGAACCGAGCCTTCA
Organism: Homo sapiens; assembly: GCF_000001405.40. Lineage (NCBI taxonomy): Eukaryota > Metazoa > Chordata > Mammalia > Primates > Hominidae > Homo > Homo sapiens. The sequence continues at coordinate 15,556 of NW_021160015.1, read as the reverse complement.
AACATCAAACATAAAAAAGAATGCAGATATTACAAAACCAGTTTACAAAAGTTACTAAACAAATAAAAACTACATTCCACAGTGGGTAACAAAAATAACCTTGAAGAAGGGAAAAATTTGGTTTCCAGAATAAACACATTATAATATCCAAAATGTCCAGTTTTCAACAAAAATTAAGAAGCATGCAAATAAACACAAAACTATGGCCCATTTACAGAAGAAATAAATGAGACTCTCCCTGAGTAAGCAGATATTAGAAATATTAGACAAAAACTTTATATAACTGTCGTAAATAAACTTAAAGAGCTAAAGAAACCCAAGAGAATGACATATAAATAAATAAGAAATATGAATTTTTTAAAAGGTACAAAAAAATTCTGAGGCTGAAAAGTACAATAACTAAGTAAAAAGTTACTTTTTACTTAGGGTTCCAATAGAAGATTTGAGCAGCTGGAAAAAAGAATCAGTGAACTTGATAGATCAAATGAAATGATTCAGTCTGAAGAGCAGGAAAATGAAAGAATGACAACAAAAAAGAATAGAGCCTAAAGACCTGTGTAACAACATCAAGAATGCCTACATACAGAATCCTGGTGGGGAGTGAGGGGCAGGAAGACTATTTGAAGAAATGTGTTTGAAAGCTTCCCAAATTTCACTAAAAACAAATATATACATTCAAAAAGCTCAGTGAACTTCAAGGAAATATACAAAGATATTCACACCAAGACACACTATGTTTCAAATTGTCAAAAGGCAAAGCGAATGTTTGAAAGCAGCAAGAGAAAGGCAACGCGTCATTTACAAAGGATCCTCAATAAGTTTGACAGCAGATAGTGCATTATAAGCCATGGATGCCAGAAGAGCTTAGGAAAAAGGCAACGCGTCATTTACAAAGGATCCTCAGTAAGTTTGACAGCAGAGAGCTCATTATAAACCATGGGTGCCAGAAGAGCTTAGGATGACATTTTAAAGTTCTGAAAGAAAAAAACACTGTCAACCAAAAATTCTATAACTTGGAAGATGCCCCTTCAAGTATTAAGGATAAATTACACATTCCCAGATTAAAAAAAAAGAAAGAGAGAGAGAGAGAAAGAGAAAGAAAGAAAGAAAGAAAGAAAGAAAGAAAGAAAGAAAGAAGAGAAAGAAGAAAGAGAAAGAAAGGAAGAAAGAGAGAGAAAGAGAGAGAGAGAGAGAGAGAAAAAGAAGGAAAGAAAGAAAGAAAGAAAGAAAGAAAGAAAGAAAGAAAAAAGAAAGAAAGAAAGAGAAAGAAAGAAAGAAAGAAAAGCAAGCAAGCTTTAAAAGTTCATGTTTGGTAGGCTGTACTTCAAGATACACTTTAAAAAAAAAGACTCCTTCACATACAAACTAAAAAACACTAGAAAGTAACTCAAAACCACATAAAGAAATAACTCCAGTAAAGATAACTACATAGGTAAATATAAAAGCAATTATCACATTTTTGTAAGTCTTTTTTAATATTCTATATGTTTTAAAACAAATGTGTAAAATAATGACTATAAATCTATGTTAATGAAGCATGATGTATAAAGATGTGGTTTGTGAAATTACCAACATAAAGAAATTCATAGGAAACTAAATAATAATAGAGATTTTGTATACTATTGAAGTTGTTTCAATTTACTCTAAATTGTTCCAAATTAAGAATGTTAATTGTAAATCCCCATGGTAACCACTAAGTTAATATCTTTTGAAAATACAGAAAAGGAAAGCAGAGGGTAAACACAGTGATATGCTACAAAATAGCAACTAAACACAAAAGAAGGCGATAATTGAGGAAATTAGGAACAAAGGAGGTATAAGACATACAGAAAACAAAAGCAAAATGGTAGGAGTAAGCCCCTCTTTATCAGTAATTACATTAAATACAAATGAATTAAACTCTCCAATCCAAAGAAAGAGATTGACAGAATGGATTTTTTAAAAATGATCCAACTATATTGTCCACAAGATACTCACTTTAGATCAAAATACACAATGAGTTGAAATGAAAAGATGGGAGAAAATATTCCATGTAAGTAATAACCAAAGGAGATCTGAGGCAAATATACTTATATCAGACAAAATAGACTTTAAGTCAAAAACTGTTACAAAATACAAAGAACAGTATATATTGATTTCAAAATTAATTAAGAAGATATAACAATTATAAATATATGTACACCAACTAACAGGGCTCCAAAATATATAATGTAACCATTGAGAGAATTAAAGGGAGAGACAGACAATTCCACGAAAATTGTTGGGCATTTGAAAACCCAACTTTAAATAAAAGATAAAACATCCAGAGCAAATATCAAGGGAGGAATTAGAGGATTTGAATAAAACTATAAGCAATAACTATAGATAACACTTCTCTCAAAAACTGCAGAATACACATTCTTCTCAAGTGAACATGGAACATTCTCCAGCACAGATGATACGTTAGGCCATAAGATAAGCTCAATAAACTTAAAAAGATTGAAATCATGCAAAGTATCTTCACTGGCCACAATGGAATGAAATAAGATATCAATAACAAAAGAAAAACTAGAAAATTTACAAATATTTGGAAATTAAACAACACAGTATTTACCAACCAATGAATCAAAGAACAAATCATGAGGGAAATTAGAAAATGTTTAGAGATGATTGAAAACAAATATATAACAAGATGGGTGTGATATATCAAAAGCAGTGCTCAGAGTTGTAACACCTACATTTTAAAAAAGAAACATGTCAAATCAATAACCAAACTTTACTCAATAAACCGTAAAAGGAAGAGCAAACAAAATCCAGAGCTAGCAGAAGGAAGGAAATGAAGATTAGAGCAGAGATAAATGAAATTGAGAATTAAAAAATTATACAGAGATCAACAAAATTAACAGGTGCTAGTAGAAAATATTAACTTTCTTTGTATTAACAGGTGTTAGTAGAAAGTAGTAGTAGGTGCTAAGATAAAAGCCATAATTAAACCTCCTGGTGAATGAACACACCATCACCTACAATCTTACCAAAAATAGAACCAAGCACGTGTCCTAGTCAAACCTCTGGATTCAACTGTCATTTGGATAAAACGCAAAGGATAGTGAAAATGTCGATCTTCACTGAGAGTCTCACCAGCAAATTTCACAGTGTGGACACCAAGTGACAAAAATCCCAAATTTTTCAACAAATATATTGTATGGGAAAGAAAACTTTGAAAAGAAACCTGTATGTTAGAAGGGATTTTAAAAACACGACAAATGAAAACAAATGGGCAAGACTAAATCATAGTGTCTTGGAATGCATGCAGGAAGGACACAGCCGTGAAAATGCAAGGACACCTCTACTGGAACAGTCATGTTTATCGTTACTTTTCAGGAGAAAGGTGGCTGCAACTGAGGAGAGTCACATGCTTCAGGGCTGGCAAAGTCCTATATCTTGACTTATGTGATGATTACAGGGATGTTTACAAAAATCAAACTATAAGTTTGTTTTGTGCCATGTTTTGTATTGTGTGTGTGTGTGTTTTGTTTTTCAACTTAAAAATAAATAAAATCAAAACCAAGGCTTCATTATCAAGTAGCACAAAGTCTCCAATCTATAACCTCCTTTGTCTGGATATCTGCATTTAACTACCATTGCCAGAGCTAATCCTGACAATGCATTCATATTTTTAACACTGAAACACAGTAAACAGGGAAAATTTTGCTCCTCTAAAACAGGGCATCTTCAGGCAATCAGAACAACTCAGAAAGTTTCTGTCTGTTGCATAAAACTCCCCTGTGCAAAGAGTTACACAAAATGCTGTCATAGTAAAGGTAGTTAACTAACGGCACTAATTGTTCTTGGGCAGTGGCCAAGTGGAACTTCAGAGACCTGGCATTGCCAGCCAGAAATCACTTGTCACGGGAATTGCCTCCTGGAATCACTTTGGTTGTCCCAGGGTAACGTAGGGAAAGTGGTTAATGGGTCACTTGGGGGTGGCATCTTCATCAGTAAATTACATTTACTTTCTCCTACTAAGAATTTTATTTTTGGCCATGAAGCCAGAAGTCAGCTCTTAAATAACAAGGGAAGCAAATAATCATTGAATAAAAATAGCAGAAAGAAAAAGCTGTGCAAAGAAATTTATGTTATTAATTTGTTATATATGTATATTTTTATCATACTTTAAGTTCTAGGGTACATGTGCACAATGTGCAGGAAAAAAAATTTATGTTTTTAAAATTTATTCTACATTATGAATTCTACATTAGAAAAATAAACCATAGCCTCATCACAGGCACTTAAATACACTGAAGCTGCCAAAACAATCTATCGTTTTGCCTACGTACTTATCAACTTCCTCATAGCAAACTGGGAGAAAAAAGCAATGGAATGAATAAAATGATAGCCACAAAAATCGAGGTGGGAGAAATACTTATTATATGTCCATAAAAAATTTTAATTAATGCAAAGTATTAACACCAATGATTGCAGTAATACAGATCTTACAAATGATAGTTTTAGTCTGAACAGGACTATCCAAAAGTTAATTTCTATAGTAACAGTTTTTAAATAAAATTTCAATTCCTGAAACACATAAAATGGTCCATGAGTATACAACGAGTGAAAAAAAACAAATTCAGAGCAAACATAAATTAAGAAGTATCTAATATTCAAACATAGTCAAAGAGAGGGAGATTTCTGGATAATCACTTAAGCCCCTGGTTAAACATAAATGCACATATGTTAATGTTTACTGAATAACTTATCGGTGCCAAGTGGTGTATTAATGATTCATTTTTATTTTTCACTAAATCTTTTCTCTAAAGTTGGCGTAGCCTGCAAGTAAATGCAGGAAATCTGACCTAGAACCTGCACTTCTTACCATTTTGCTCATATTTATTCCCTGTGCATTTTTGTAACATGTATATGTTATATATATAGAAAGAGAGAGAGGCAGAGATGGAAAGTAATTTATGGAGTTTGATGTTATGTCAGGGTAATTACATGATTATATAATTAACAGAGGTTTCTTTTTAAATCAGCTATATCAATAGAAAAATAAATGTAGGAATCAAGAGACTCATTCTGTCCATCTGTGATAGTTCCATCATGATACTGCATTGTCAAGTCATTGCCCCAAAAATATGGTTTAGCTCAACACTGAGTGACTATAGGAAACCAGAAACCAGGCTGGGCGCTAAAGATGCAAAGATGAATGAGACATCATCTCTGCCGTCCAAAAGCTTACTGTCTAGTGGGAGAGTTACACACGTAAGGACAGTAATCTAATAAGAGCTAATAAGTGAAAACTAAGATAAGTTAATAATACAAGATTACAGGGAAGGTTTCCAAAGTCAATGAGGCCTCAAATGAGTCTTGAAAGTGTGCAAGGATTAACCAAATGAAGAAATGTGTAAGCTTTTCAAACAAAAAGGAACAGCATGAGCAAATGCAAGGAGGCCTAAAATAAAGAGATGTGTAAAGAGGTGTAAGCAGCTTTGTACTGCTGCCTGATAATTAGAAGAATATCGGGAGTAACAAGAGCTATAGAAGAGAGTCACAATTACGGAAAAATATTTATTAAATTATAAGAAATTTATAGCATAAGGAATAGTCGGACCATTAAATGTTTTAATAAAGATGATGCTTCTTTTTTTAATATTTATTTTTATTATACTTTAAGTTCTAGGGTACATGTGCACAACATGCAGGTTTGTTACATATGTATACATGTGCCATGTTGGTGTGCTGCACCCATTAACTCATCATTTACATTAGGTATGTCTCCTAACGCTATCCCTCCCCCCTCCCCCCACCCCACAACAGGCCCCGGTGTGTGATATTCCCCTTCCTGTGTCCGTGTTCTCATTGTTCAAGTCCCACCTATGAGTGAAAACATGCGGTGTTTGGTTTTTTGTTCTTGAGATAGATGATGCTTTAAATTGACCACTCTAGCTGCATTGTGGGAGGAAAAAAGATTTTAGAACAAGACTAGAAACAGAATAATTAGAAAAATGCAACTACAATGCAGATGAGTGATGATCAAGGTCTGAACTGAATAGTGGAAATAGAGATAAGGAGGCAAATTCAAGAAATGTGTGTGACAGTAAAATTAACATGACCTGGTGTTTGATTGACTCTGTAAAGTGAAAGGATGAATAATCAACAAATAATATTTATTCTACCAAATGCCTCCATGCCGCTCTGATGACAGGATAATATGTAAGCTTTTCTATATCTCAGAAACTATATGACATGACGAAAAGTAAAAAGGGGATGGGGGTAAGGAGGTATCCTGAATTGACTGAGAAATAAGGAGGTATTCCACAGAGAATATAAAAAAACATATACTTAGTGTTCAAGGAATAATAAAAAAGAGAACATCTATGTGTCCACCATACAGGATATGAAATAGAACATTTGCCGGCCATGGTTGCTCACACCTGTAATCCCAGTACTTTGGGAGGCCGAGGTGGGAGGATCACTTAAGCCCAGGACACAGGTTGCAGTGAGCCAAGATCACACTATCGTACTCCAGCCTGGGCCACCATGTCTCAGAAAAATAAAAAAACTAGATGTCTTGGAGGATTGGAAACAAAATAGAACTTTACTAGTGCCTTAGACACCCATTGGGTGCTCCTTGCCAATTGTGTTCTCCTTTATTTCCTGCTGGATATGACCACTGTCCTTCCATTGCATTGTATGTGTTTTTTAATAGACTTTAATGGTTCTCAAGTGATGCATTATTTAGTTTGGTTCTTTGAAACTTATATAAATGAAATTATTTTGTAGAAGTTCTTTCACCTTTATCAGAAGGTACTTTCACCTTGATTCAATAAGTTTGCATATTACAACCTTGTTGAATGTTGCTGTAATTCATCCATTCATATTGCTATATGATATTCCACTACATGAATATGTCGGACTTCATTCCTCAGATCTATTGTTGATGAACACTTGAAATTTTTCCAGTTTTTAACCATTACAAACAATGCTGCTATGAACATTCTTTTGTAAATCACCTGGTTCATATGTGCAAGATATCCTCTGGGGTATATATTTAAAAGTAAAATTATTGAGTTATTCAACATTACCATGAAATGCTACACTATTTTTTTTAACAATCCTACCAATTCACACTTCTACCACGAACAGATAAGCATTACCATTGGTCTTCATTTGTAGGAACCATATTTGTCTTTTGCTCTGGGGGCTTTGTTTTGTTTTGCTTTGTTTTTTGCTTAGAAGTGCTTTGGCTATTTGGGATCTTTTTTGGCTCCATGTGAACTTTAGGATTTTTTTTTAATTTTGTGAAAAATAACGTTGATAATTTGATGGGAATTGCATTAACTCTATAGATTGTATGGGTGATATGGTCACTTTAGCTATTGATTTTTCTAATCCATGAGCATGGGATGTTTTTCCATTTGTTTATGTCATCTATAATTTCTTTCATTAGTATTTTGTAGTTCTCCTTGTAGAGATCTTTCATTTATATAGTTATGCATTCCTAGGTATTTTTCATGGCTATTGTAAATTCAGTTGAGTTCTTAATTTGGTTCTCAACAAATTAATCTCAACAAACATTCAAACAGCTTGAATGTTTTTGGTGTATAGAAATACAACTGATTTTTGTGGCTTGTTTATCCCAAGACTTTACTGAAGTCGTGTATCAAGTCTAGGAGTCTTCTGAAGACTTTAGGGTTTTCCAGGCCTACAGTCATGTCATCAGTGAGCAGAGATCATTTGACTTCTTTTCTAATTTGTATACCTTTTATTTCTTTCTCCTTTCTGATAGTTCTGGCTAGCACTTCCAGTAATGTATTGAATAGGAATGATGAAGGTGAACATCCTTGCTTTTTTCCAGTTTCTAGAAGCAACACTTCCAACTTTTGCCCATCCAGGATGATGTTGGCTGTGGCTTTGTCATAGATGACTCATTTTTTGAGGTATACTCCATCTATACCTATATTGTTGAGGGTTTTTATCATAAACAGATGTTGGATTTTATCAAATGCTTATTCTGCATCTAATGAGATGATCATAGGGTTTTTGTTCTCAGTTCCATTTATGTGGTGAATCATGTTTATTGATTTGTCTATTTTGAACCATTCAAGCACCCCTGGAATAAAGCCCACTTGATCATGATGAATTATCTTTTTGATGTGCTGTTAGCTTCAGTTTGCTAGAATTTTGTTGAGTATTTTTACATCTGTGTTGATCAGGGATAAGGATTTGTAGTTTTCTTTTGTGTTCTTTTTAAAAATTTTCCTTGTTAATTTTACTGCACAGTATTATTTTAATGATGAATAAAGTGTTGAGCTGGACATGTGTACCTTGTTCCTCGTGTTAGAATGAAACTGTTTAATATGTCATGATTATTTATAATGTTGAGAGTAGTTTTTGTGTATATATTAAGATATTTACATCAGTTCTCTTCTATTCCTAGCTTGTTATTATTACAAATAGTTTCAAATGTGAACAAGTGCTTTACCCGCAGCTATTGAAATAACCATATTTTTTTCTTTTATTCAGTTAATGTGGTTAATTTCATTGTTTGGTTTTCTAATTTTAAACCATACATTCTTGAAATTACTGCACTTAGTCACGATGTATTTTTCTTTGGAGTATATTGTTGGATATTTGCAAACATTTTTGTTTAGAATTATTATGTAGTATATTAGTCTGTAATTTCATTTCTTTTAATATCCTTGTATGGTTTTATTATCATGGAGGTACCACCATATAAAACAAGTTGGAAAGTGTTATGTCTTCCCAATTCTCTAAAAATATTCATGTAACATTGGCATTATTTCTTTATTAAATATTTGGTAATATTTCTTTATTAAATATTGCATCCACCTAGCCCTGGAGTTCTTTCTACAGGAAAAAAAAATTTTCTAAATAAAATTTCTACAATGAAAAAAAAACTACTCAGTTTTTCTAGTTTTTTTCTGATCATTTCATAAAAGTAGGTGTTTTTCATAGGAACTTGACCATTCCTTATGATTGTCAAATTTATTAATATAAAGTTTCATATTTTATATTTATTTTATCAGATAAATAAAATTATATGTTTTGAAATATATATTCATTGTAAAATAGCCATGTTAAGCTAACATATGCATTACCTTACATGCTTATCTTTTTTTATGAGAACACTTAAAAATCTACTCTTAGCAATTTTGAAGAATACAAGTACATCCCCTATGGAGAACAGTTTGAAGGCTCCTCAAAAAAGTAAAAATAGAGCTACCATGTGGTCCAGCAATCCCACTGCTGCATATATACCCCCCAAAAAAGAAATCAGTATATCGAAGAGATATCTGCACTCCCGTATTTGTTGCAGCACTATTTACAATAGCGAAGTTATGGAGTCAACCTAAGTGTCCATCAACAGATGAATGAATAAAGAAAATGTGGTACTTATATACAATGAAGTACTATTCAGCCATAAAAAGGAATGAGACCCTGTCATTTGCAACAACATAGATGAAACTGGAGGTCATTATGTTAAGTGAAATAAGCCAGGCACAAAAAGACAAATACTATGTGTTATCACTTATATGTGGAATCCAAAAAGCAAACAACTGAACTCATGGAGATAGAGAGTAGAAGGAAGTATACCAGAGGCTGTGAAGGGTAGTGGGGGTTGGGAGAGGTGGGGGATGGTTAATGGGTACAAAAAAAGAAAGATTTAATAAGACCTAGTATTTGATAGCACAACAGGGGGATTGCAGTCTAAAATTCAATTATACATTTAAAAATAACTGAAAGAGTATAACTGGATTGTTTATAACACAAATAATAAATGCTTGAGGGGATGAATATCCAATTTTCCATTATGTACTTATTGTACATTGCATGCCTGTACCAAAATATTTCATGTACCCCATAAATGTATACACCTGCTATGTACCCACAAAAATTAAATTTAAAAACAATACATTGTTATCCACTATAGTCACCATATTGCACAATAGATCTGTTGAATTCATTCCTCCTGTACAATGCAATTTTGTACCCTTCGACCAACATCTACCCAATCCTCCTGGTAACCATCATTCTACTCTGTACTTCTATGTGTTCAGCCTTCTTAGACCTCCACATACAAGTGAGACTATGCAGTATCTGGCTTTCTGTGCCTGGATTATTTTACTCAGTATAATGTCCTCCCGGTTCATTCATGTTGTCACAAATGATACTTTTTTTATTTTTTAAGGTTGTATACTATTCTATTGTGTATGTGTACCACGTTTTCTTCATCCACTCATGTGTCGATGGATACTTAAGTTAATTCCACATCTTGGCTGTTGTGAATAATGCTACAATAAATATGGGAGTACAGATAACTCATTGACACACTGATTTGATATCTTTTTAATATATGCCCAGAAATAGCATTACTGGATCATATGGTAATTCTATTTTTACAGAATCATTTATACTGTCTTTTACAATGGCTGAAATAATTTACATTCTCAACAATTACAAGGTTTTCCTTTTCTCCACATCCTCTCCAACACTTGGTATCTTCTGCCTTTTCTGTAACAGCCATTCTAACGGATGTGAAATGGCATTTTATTGTAGTTTTAATATGCATTTCTCTGATGATCAGTGATAATTAGCATTTTTATATATCTGTTGGCCATTTGTATGTCTTCTTTTGAGAAATGTCTATTTAGATCCTTTGTCAATTTTTCATTAGGGTTCCCTGTTTTCTTATTATTGAGTTGTTTGTGTTCCTAAGATATTTTGGACATTAGCCTCTTATCAAATGTATAGTTTGCAGATAATTTCTCCCATTTTGTAGGTTATCACTTCACTCTGTTGACTTTCTTTTGCTGTGCAGAAGCTTTTTAGGTTGATGCTATTCCATTTGTGTTTTGTTGCTTTTCTTGCCTGTGCTTTAGAGTCATATCATAAAATATTATTGCCCAGACCAATGTCTTGGAGTTATTCCCCTGTTTTCTTCTAGGAGTTCTATAGTGCTAGGTCTTACATTTAAGTCTAACTTATTTTGAGTTTATATTTTTATATGGTATGAAATAAGGGCCTAATATCAATCTTGTGGACATTCAGTTTTCTCAACACCATTTTTTTGAAGAGACTGTTCTTTCCCCATGTGTGTTCCTGGCACCTTTGTTGAAAGTCAATTGACTATAATATGTAGATTTATTTATGGGCTCTTTATTCTGTGTAATTGGTCTATGTGTCTGCGTTTATGCCAGTACCATGGTGTTTCGATTGCTATAGCTATGTAGTATAATTTGAAGTCAGGTAATGTGATATCTCCTGCCTTGCTTTTTTTGATCAAGATTCTTTTGGCTTTTCAGAGTTTTTTGTGATTCCATACAGATTTGAGAGTTGTTTTTCTATTTCTGTGGGAAAATGTCATAGGAATTTGGTAGAGATTGCATTCAATATGTACATCACTTTGGATAGTATGAACATTTCAAACATATTACTTTTTCCAATCCATGAACATGAGATATCTTTCCATTTATTTGTGGCTTCTTCAATTGCTTTCATCAATGTTTTGTAGTTTTCAGTGTAAAGATCATTCACCTCTTTGTTTAAATTTACATCTAAGTATTTTTTGTTGCTATTATAAATAGGATTGTTTTCTTGATTTCTTTTTTTGTATAGTTTGTTGTTGATGTGTAGAAATGCTACTGAATTTTGTATGTTCACATTGTATCCTGCAACTTTACTAAATTCATTTATGAATTCTAAATTTTTTGGCAGAGTTATTGGTGTTTTCTATATATAAGATCATGTCAACTGCAAACAGAAACAATTTAACTTCTTCCTTTCCAATTTTCATGCCTTTTATTTCTTTCTTTTGCCTAATTGCTCTGGCTAGGACATCCAGTACTATGTTGAATAGAAGTTCTGAGAGTGGGCACCCTTGTATGAAATTTTCCACAACATCTCTTATCTTTTTATTAGCTATATATTAATACGGATGTTTCTTCTTCATCAGGAGTTTGAAAAATATGTCTTTTCTCTATATTGTTCTTAATCAGTCTTCCTAGAAGTATTTCAATTTCAAAAAGTAGCAACAACTGTGGGAGTTCAGTCAGGCTGGTGGGAAAAATTTTAAAGATAGTTATAAGAAATCGACACAAACCTTCATGGAAGGCTGGGGGTGTTGTATAGCTTCAGTAATAGATCTGAATGAAGGCGGCCTAATCCTTCCTTGAGTAAATAGCTTAAAGTAGGTGCAAAGGAATGTAAGGGAGTTTATCTAAATAACTTGTTTACTCATGTGGTCCTGAAGCCAACCTTTGATCATTCACAGGCAGGATGGCTCTCTCTCGGGGGAGGGTGACCAGGTTAATTACCCTCTATTTGTGTTGACTAAAAGCCCCTGTCATTTAATGTTTTTTCAATAAATGCTGGCAGGGCTAGCTAGTCAGGGCTCGTGGCTGCCAGAACTCTTTCTGTGCACGGCCCAGCCCCCTAGCGGCTCTTTCACTGAATAATTGGTGTCTGAGTACATTATTCATCCCTCGTGCAGCTGGGGTCTGCAGGACAGACCCCCACAAACAACAATTTGCAAAAGCAAACTTCCCTGTTTTGTTTTTTTCCCAAGATGATAAATTAGAGGCTTTTAGTGTGCCTCGGCCACTTAGAAATAGCAAGAGAGTGCACAAAGGTCAACTCTGTGAGCTCTAAGTCAAGAAGGAAAATGGGAATCCACCAGAATCATGAAGGACATCATAGATCCCAAGAAGGAGAATGTGAGCAAACAGTCAACATGACAGCAACCAGCTTATAAAAGTGAGCGAAGTCCTAGTATGTGAGAGAGGCAGAGAGCCTCCCTCTGTAACTGACATTTTCACTGTGAATCTGAGCAACCCCAGCCAAGTTGTTGCATTTTGTTTCTCCCAAGGCCTGGAGTCAACATGGGGAGAGGCTTGGAGATGCTGTGAAGCAAAGACACTGGGAACAGCTGCAGACATTTTCCCAGACCAGGAAGTAAGAGCAAGATGCCATTTTCAATCTGGATGCATGCAAAGTCAGCTTTTTTTTTTCTTTTTGTGACCCAGCAGAATGCCTGCACAGGCATTTTAGTCTCAGGCCAAAGATTGGAACAACTGCTTTGGGTCTTGGTAGGGACCTTCACAGCCATATTGTGGGAAACACCTCAGCAGTATGTGCTGGAATTGTGCTTTCCCCCATCGCAGCCTCGGGGCAACAGAAAAGCTGCTACAGCTGTAATTTCTCCCAGGTGATGAAACTTGCAGCCAGGGCCAGCTTGGAGACCTACAACCAGTCTGCAGGTGTCATTGCTGGGTGCCCCAGCCTGTTCCCCTGACAATGTGATACAGCAGGGCTTTCTCTGCTTCACCCCCAGGCAGAAATTCAGGCATTGGAGCACCTGTCTACCTGGACCAGCATCCTGAGCTACCCCACCGTTTGTAAACATAGGTTGTGGTGCAGTGGGGCCCTCTCCAGTCTATGGCCAGGCAGATTTCCAGGTATGTGGAGCACCCACTTGACTGGATCAGCAGCCTGAGCTTCCCCAACCTTCCTGTGCTGAGATTATAGTGCAGTGAGGCCCTCTCATCTCCACACATAGGCAGACCTCCAAGCAATTAGAGCACCTGCTCCTATGGAGAACTTAAATTTACAAGAAAAAAAACCATCAAAAATTGGCCAAAGGACATGAACAGACAATTCTCAAAAGAAGACATGGATGTGGCCAACAAACATATGAAAAAAAGCTCAAATCACTGATCATTAGAGAAATGCAACTCAAAAGCACAATGAGATACTATCTCAAACCAGTCTTAATGGTGATTATCAAAAACTCCAGAAACAACAGTTGCTGGTAAGGCTGTGGAGAAATAGGAATGCTTTTACACTGTTTGTGGGAATGTAAATTAGTTCATTCACTGTGGAAGACAGTGTGACAATTCCTCAAAGATCTAGAACCAGAAATGCCATTTGCCCCAGCAATCCCTTTACTGGGTATATGCCCAAAGGAATATAAATCACTCTATTATAAAGATACATGCACAGGGCTGGGTGCAGTGGCTCACACCTGTAATCCCAGCACTTTGGGAGGCCAAGGCCGGTGGATCACCTGAGGACAGGAGTTTGAGACCAGCCTAGCCAACATGGGGAAACTCCATCTCTACTAAAAATACAAAAATTAGCCAGGTATAGTGGTGCACACCTGTAATACCAGCTACTTTGGAGGCTGAGGCAGGAGAATCGCTGGAACCCAGGAGGCAGAGGTCAAAGTGAGCCAAGATCATACCATTGCACTCCAGCCTGGGCAACAAGAGCAAAACTCCATCTCAAAAAAATATATATATATACATATACATACATATATATACATATATATACACATATATATACATATATATACACATATATATACATATATACATATATTATATATGTAAATGTATATATATGTGTATATATATACACACATATATATACACATATATATACATATTATAACTACATATATATACACACACACATACATATACATGCACACATATGTTTATTGCAGCACTATTTACGATAGAAAATACATGGAATCAACCCAAATGCCCATCAATGATATATTGGATAAAGAAAATGTGATATATATTCACCATGGAATACTCTGCAGCCATTAAAATAAATGAGATCATGTTCTTTGCAGGGACATGGATGAAGCTGGAAGCCATCACCGTCAGCAAACTAACACAGGAACAGAAAACCAAACACCACATGTTCTCAGTCGTAAGAGGGAGTTGAACAATGAGAGCAAACACATGGATACATGGAGGGGAACAACACATACCAGGGCCTCTCAGGGGGACAGGGGTTAGGAGACCATCAGGACAAACACGTGGATACATGGAGGGGAACAACACACACCAGGGCCTCTCAGCGGGACAGGGGGTAGGAGACCATCAGGACAAACACGTGGGTACATGGAGGGGAACAACACACACCAGGGCCTCTCAGGGGGACGGGGGGTAGGAGACCATCAGGACAAACACGTGGATACATGGAGGGGAACAACACACACCAGGGCCTCTCAGGGGGACAGGGGGTAGGAGACCATCAAGACAAACACGTGGATACATGGAGGGGAACAACACACACCAGGGCCTCTCAGGGGGACGGGGGTAGGAGACCATCAGGACAAACACGTGGGTACATGGAGGGGAAAAACACACACCAGGGCCTCTCAGGGGGACAGGGGGTAGGAGACCATCAGGACACACACGTGGGTACATGGAGGGGAACAACACACACCAGGGCCTCTCAGGGGGACAGGGGGTAGGAGACCATCAAGACAAACACGTGGATACATGGAGGGGAACAACACACACCAGGGCCTCTCAGGGGGACAGGGGGTAGGAGACCATCAGGACAAACACGTGGATACATGGAGGGGAAAAACACACACCAGGGCCTCTCAGGGGGACAGGGGGTAGGAGACCATCAGGACACACACGTGGGTACATGGAGGGGAACAACACACACCAGGGCCTCTCAGGGGGACAGGGGGTAGGAGACCATCAGCACAAACACGTGGGTACATGGAGGGGAACAACACACACCA